>NC_000001.11:347968-535988 GCF_000001405.40 Homo sapiens
GATCCCAATTTTGTTACAACATCGAAAGCATCATAATCAGGAGCAAGTCGAACATATGCCTTGTTCTCTTTATCAGGACAAATCAGGGTGGTGACCTTGGCCACATCACTGTCATAGAGCTTCTTCACAGCCTGTCTGATCTGGTGCTTGTTGGCTTTAACATCCACAGTGAACACAAGCGTGTTGTTTTCTTCTATCTTCTTCCGGCCGACTCAGTGGTCAGCGGAAACTTGATGATAGCATAGTGGCCAAGCTTGTTTCTCCTGGGGGTGCTCTTCCGAGGATATCTGGGCTGCCTCCGGAGTCGCAGTGTCTTGGGCCGCCTGAAGGTGGGTGACATGCGGATCTTCTTTTTTGCGTGTGGCTGCGGACACCTTTCAACACTGCCTTCTTGGCCTTTAAAACCTTCACTTTGGCTTCGGCTTTAGGAGGAGCAGGAGCTTCCTTCGCTTTCGGTGCCGTCTTGTGAAAAGCGAAAAACATTATTTCAAAAATAATTTGTCTACAGTAAATCTGCCTAAGAATAGTTTCCAAAGTACTTTTGGTAATTTTTAACCTTAAAGTTAAGCTAAGTAAAAGATTTGCATTAAATATCTAGACCATTTATAAATAAGATACAATACTAAAACATTAATTACTGAACATAAATAATTCAAGTTTATATACTTTTGGCTTCCTGTTTTTACAGAGAGACTAAAGATATTTTGGCCCGTTAATAAACATGTTTTTTTCTGCCACACTGAGGAATTGTATTATGAGGAAACACATCCCTCTAGATGTTGGGAGATGGTATATTCATACATTTTCTAACCTACTATAGAATGCTAATATATGACAGTTTATAACTGTCTACTTCCTAGTTTTCTCTGGAAAATAAAAGATTACTAAGTATTAAAATTATAATCAATATATGTAAATAAAACTACTAGAAATAATAGAATAACTAGAAACAACTCTATGCAAAGCATGCAAGAAAAGTAGGGCATGTTTCGCAAGTAAAGTAGGTTGCATTTTTTATAAGGAAAACCATACAGAAGATACAAATAAAAAGAGATACCTAACCTTCCCTGTGTTATATTTGTATGGGTAAAATGTTATGTTTTCAGAAATTATATAAAATTCCTGGAAGTTTGTCAATGTCCTCCTTATCCATGCTATGTGCCACTATAGAGTAATGAGTCATAATTCCAATTATTACTTTAAATGTTGTGCCAGGCACAGTGGCTCATGCCTATAATCCCAGCACTTTAGGAGGCTGAGGCAGGTGGATCACAAGGTCAGGAGATCCAGACCATCCTGGCTAACTCGGTGAATCTCCATCTCTATTAAAAATATAAAAAATTAGCCGGGCGTGATGGCAGGCACCTGTAGTCCCAGCTACTCGGGAGGCTGAGGCAGGAGAATGGCGTGAACCCAGGAGACAGAGCTTGCAGTGAGCCGAGATCGCACCGCTGCACTCCAGCCTGGGCGACAGAGCAAGACTCTGTCTCTAAATAAATAAATAAATAAATGTTGTCTGCCACAGAAAAAATCGAATATTTTGGTAGAAACCCCGTCTCTACCAAAAATACAAAAATTAGATGGGCATGACGGCATGTGCCTGTAGTCCCAGGTAATCAGGAGGCTGAGGAGGGAGGATCGTTTGCACCCAGGAGGTAGAGGTTGCAGTGAGCTGAGATTGCACCTTTGCACTCCAGCCTGGGCGACAGAGCCAGACCCTGTCTCAAAAAAAATTTTTTTAAAGGAAAACTATAGCCATTGAGAGTTATCAGATTCTAGTCTTGTTTCTTGTTTCTGGGCTATTTTTACCTCTTTGTAAACTGGATCCTGCCATCTGATGAATTTTGTCCCACAATGATACTTGGGGAACAAGAAGCCAAGTATTGTCTCTCCTACTAATGTATCTATTGTCAGTTAATTTGAAGGTCTCCAACCCTGGAACAAAGTTAGAAGAGGAAGGTTCTACTCCCCAAAATGCATAACCAAATTGTGCTACATTCATGTAATGGAATACTATTTAGCCATAGAAAGGAACAAGATATCAACACACACAAAGACATGAGTGAATCTTGCATGCACATTGCTAAGTGGAAGAAGACAGTCTGAGGAGGATACACACAGTGTGACCTCATTTAATGAGACACTGGGGAAGGCAAACTACACAGATGGGAAGCCATTGGCTCCATGGGGTGGGGGTTTGAGGCATTCCATATGATACTTTAATAGTGGGATATCTGCCACAATGCATTTGTCGAAATATGCAGAATTTTACAGCCAAATGGTTAAAGCAAACTCTATTCAAATTAAATCAAATTACTCAGGATGTGGAGTATCCCAGGACAGAATACATCATGTGAAAAAGAATTTATGCTATAAATTACGATGGTTTGGATGTGGTTTGTCCCCACAAAAACTCATGTTGAAATTTGACTCCCACTGTGTCAGTGTGGGGCGGTGGGGCCTAGTGGACGGTGTTTGGGTCGTGGGGACGGATCCCTCATGAATAGATTAATGTCCTCCATGGGGGTGAGTGAGTTCTGTTCTCACAGGAATAGATAATTCCTGCAGGAGTAGGTAATTAAAAAGAGTCTGGCTTCCTTGGCTTCCCTCTTGCTTTCACTTCTGCTATGTGATCTCTGGTGCACCCCTTGCTCCCCTTCCACTTTCCACCATGAGGTGAAAAAGACTGAGGCCCCGCCAGATGCAACTGCCCAATCTCGGACATTCCAGCTACCAGTATTGTGAACCAAATGAAACTGTTTTACTTATAAATTACGCAGCCTCAGGTATTCTGTTACAGAAGCACAAAATGGACTAAGACACAAATCTAGGTAAAAACTTTGAAAATGAATAGAATCTGTAGGCTGAAGGCACGTGAACTATACTTCATTATTGGATTCCATTTTATAAAGTTCTTTCCAACAGAAGCAATTGTGAACAATTGTAAAACCACAGTGTCTGTATCTGGAGTAAAACAATGACTTACATAAGTCGCAGATGGTGGGAACCAGCTTTCTCACTGTTGAAGTGGGAGGTTACAAATTAGCAAGACGAGAAGGCTAGAATGATTCCTGTGATAGTAGATCAGAGGTGGAGACATCAACGTAAACTTATGCTTAGTTTAATATAGATACACACAGTTCTACATAGAAAACTTTATAATTAGGTGTGTGTAGGTAGGTTAGACACGCACATATGCTTCCTAGCATTGCTAATGAGGGACAAGATACAATGTGCATTCAGCAGCCACATGTAAGTTTTCCCACCATTCTGAAAGGAATCAGGCTCTTTGAAGAAATGTCTGATACTAGAACTGGGACAGTAAATATAGGAGCCAGGATAATCTGGAAGTATCAGAAAGTAAGTACTAAAAAAATTAAAATATATCAAACAAAAATAAAAGCCAATAAAAACAGCTACCGATGGCCAACACAGGAAGGAATTGTGCAACATAATGCTATAGTGTCGAATAATAACTAAAGCTTAAAGTAATTATCTAGGTGTCTGTATTTGTATACCTAGGTGAATAAGCAAATGGAGTTGCATAGAAATCTCCTTTGCAAAAGAATTCCAAATAACTGATGTAGACACTCAGCCATCAAGAAGGTGGAGCCAACTCCTCACTCCGTAAGTGTGGGCTCTGCATAGTGACTTGCTCCAAAAGAACACATGCAGTATGGACAAGGAGGAAAAATAACTTCACAGTGGAGAAATCTGACAAACAGTAGCTCTGCCAAATGATCCAAGTGAACACCAAAGCTGACAGTTCACCTTGAGAACATGAAGTGACAATGGGGGACATTCTACAAAAATCCTGACCAATCCTCCTCAGTGCTATGAAGGTCATCATGAGATGGAAAGCCTAACACACTGTCACAGCCAGGAAGAGCCTATGTGATGACTACATGTCGTGTGGGATCCTGGATGGGATCCTGGGTCAGAGTAAGATAGAACTAAGGGAATCCAAATGAAATATGAACTTTAGTTAATAACAGTCTATCAGTATTGGTTCATTAACTGCGGCAAATTATGTAAGATATTAATAAGCCATGTGAGACACACTGATAGAAGATGTTAATAAGAGAGGAAACTAGGTTGCGGCTACATGGGAAATCTCTTTTTTTTTTTGACGATTTCTGTGTAAGTAAAAAAAAGACGTAAAATAAAACTTTATTTAAAACACTTTTTTTAACACTTCCTTGTTTAATTATTTATACCATGAATTACTAGTAATTGACACTGTTAACTAGTCCTGTTTTTTAAAATAAGAGCAATTATGACACAAAAAATTAAACAGTGCAGACTGATACATAAATCAAATGTTCTTTACATGTTTTCTGTTACTGTAGTAACACACATGTGTAAACTTAATTATCACATGTTTTTCTTGTGCTGTGGTTGTGTCCTGGGTTCATTCTCTAAAATGCTGTTCATCTTAGACCAGGAAAAATATTAACCATACAGACTCTGTTTCAAGTCATAGCTGAATATTTTCAAAAGAGTGACTTTGTAAAAACATGTTCCAATGGCAAATTGATTCATTGTGATGGGATCAATTATTCCAAAGACTTCTTGTCTTTATTTTGTTGCCATGCCTACCTTTTAGCCATGATACAACAGAATCAAATATTGGCCACTGGGAAAAAATATTCAAAGAAAGAAAGAATGTGAACAGAACTTGTGACCACGATGATTCAATGTTTTACCACAATGCTTTCTAAAACAAGAGTCTAAAAGGATATTCAAAGTCAATTTCCTCAGTGAGGCTTTGCAGAAAATGAGGAAACTAGAGAAACAAAAATGGCAGGACATTCTACGGTTGATTTTAAATGTTGCTATGTTTTATGGGAAAAAATACTTTACCTTTTAAAGAATCACAAAGAATTATTGGAAACCCAAACTCTGGAATGTTTGCAAATTTAGTTGAGCTTCTATGTAATTATGTCTATATAGGTAGCCATGAAGTTGATGATTTCTTAAAAATCTGTGCCTTATTTGTGTAATAAAAGACACAATGAATAATTAATACTCATAGGAACACTTACGAAGGGAAAATAAATCTTGGGGACTCAAAATCACTAAGCTAAAGGGAAAAGTCAAGCTGGGAACTGCCTAGGGCAAACCCGCCTCCCATTCTATCCAAAGACACCCATCTGATCACCGAGATAAATGCATACCTGATTGCCTCACGTGGAGAGGGTAATCAGCAATGCAAAAGAATGAAACCATTTGTCTCTTACCTACCTGTGACCTGGAAGCCCCCTGTCTGGCCTTCTCACCTTTCTGGACTGAACCAATGTACATCTTACACATATTGATTGATCTCTCGTGTCTCCCTAAAGTGTATAAAACCAAGCTGTGCCCCGACCACCTTGGGCCCATGTTGTCAGGATCTCCTGAGGAGGCATCACAGGTGCACATCCTCAAGATTGGCAAAATAAACTTTCTAAAAAATCTGAGAGCTGTCTCAGATTTTCAGGGTTCACACATGTAATGTAGGATGTCAATGTTTATAAAAGGGATGTTATTCTATCTACTATTAGAAATATGCTGTCAATTAACCTTAAACTTTCTCAACAAAATAAAAAATGTTGATGAGGTACAAATAATATATCTAAGCTTAAATAGTGTTGCAGGTTTTAATATGCCTACTTTTCAATTTTTCAATACTATCTTTACTAATTTAACACTGTAAGAAAAATGAGTAATTAAAACATGAATAAAAGTGTTTACAGGGGATGCACATGTTTCCTCCAGCCTCTGCCTATACCCAACTTTCATCCCAACTGTCCTGATGGTGGCTCTAAGCATTTCTCCTTTCTCTATACCAAGATCTCTCCCCAGAAACAAACCCAAATCTTACTATATGTTATGGCACGCTATGATGATGAGCAGCGATGAGCAGCCGAAGCCTCAAGGAAGGGATGCTTTTGTAAAACAAGACTTGTGGAATATAACATGTGAAAGTAAAGCCCACGGCAGAGCTCCCTCCTCAGCACACGGGGAGCAGACAGGAAGTTTTTCCTCACCTTCCTCAATGGCCTGCAGCCACGTCTCCCCAGGTCAGTCTTAAGGACAATGAAACTCTGGTCTTCACTGTGGACATGCCACACTACCAGGTGCTCCAAAGCCATGGTGACCCGTCCTCGGGTGGGTCCTGAGGAGAACAAAGCTCTGGTTCTAATCCTAACCCTAACCCTGTCCCAAGACTTTGACACTGAACCTAAATCCTGATCCCTATCCTGGTCCCTAATTCTGACCCTGACTTTGATCTCGACCCTGACCATGACCCCACCTCTAACCATACTTCTGGCCCTGACTCTGACCCAGATCCTAATCCTATCCCTAACCCTATTATTATCTTTACAATCTATGTCTAATCTTACCCTCTAGTGCTAAATAGCTGTACCCAAAAGCACTTTTAAATTATTTAACTTCTTTTCCTTGAATTCTCTAAGGACATCCTAAAGGAGATGTCAATATGTATTTTGCATTC
Organism: Homo sapiens; assembly: GCF_000001405.40. Classification (NCBI taxonomy): domain Eukaryota; kingdom Metazoa; phylum Chordata; class Mammalia; order Primates; family Hominidae; genus Homo; species Homo sapiens. The sequence goes on from NC_000001.11 coordinate 354,465, forward strand.
CCTCTGAGTGGTATGGCTTCAGATAAGAAGTTCTAATACTTTGCAAGACATAAAAAGTTTGGAGGGTGACAGCACTGGGTTGTTAGGGATGCATGTTGGCATTCGTGGTAGTCATAGGTGCTGTTCTCCAGATATTTTCAGTTCATATTTTATGAATGCATTCTGACTGTTCCATCCCGCCTACTTACATTTTCACATGGCCACGTGACTTTTTTTTTGCCAATGGAGGTGAGAAGAAATAACATGTGACTTTTTCAGGAGAAATCTCCAAGAAACAGAGTTCTATTCCGCATACTTTTTTCTCTTTTCTATAGCAATGGGGATCTTACTGATTGTCCCTCCTTCCGTCTGGATTCCTGTGTTAGGATGACACAGCACAGAGCTACCTCTCACCTGACCCATGATGAAATGTAAATAAATGAGGAAGAAGATTTTTGAGCCACTGAAATTTGGAGGTTGTTTGTCACCACAGTTTAACCTAGCCCCCATTTACTGATGCACGGCTGAAGAATGAGTCCGAACTGGATCTAGACAAGACATGTGAAGAGCACGCCAGGCTGAGTAAAATTCAAGTGTTGTCTCAAAGATAACACTGAGCACGATATGTTATTGGGGTGGGTGTGGGATAAATAAGGTATATCAGGTGAGAATAACAAGAAACTCAACTTTAAAAGACGGTGCCGATTTGGAAGACACCAAATTGGAAGACAGCAGGAGCTGCCCCATAATACCAGTAAAGTGAGAAGCAGAGATAAACTAGTCCTAGACAGCTGACTCATGTTGGGGGCAGCCCACTCACAGTGACCCTGACCCAACTCTGACTAGAGGCCACTTGCTCTCAACACCAGGGTGCTCAATGGCCCGTCCTGGTACTCTGCTCTACACTGGTTGTAGGAAGGAATCTACAGGTTGAAATAAGGAGATCATTTCCCTGAGGTTCCGAAGCTCGTATTTACTCACCATTTGTTGTTTACTGCTAATGTTGAGCACTGTCAGTAAAATACATAAAACCCTTTGCCAATCCAGGAAGTGAAAATGACACTTTACTGTTTTAATTTGCATTTCTCTGCTTACAAGTGGATTACACACATTTTCATGTGCTGTTGGCTACTTATTCATTCAGAAAACATACTAAGTGCTGGCTCTTTTTCATGTCCTTTATCAAGTTTGGATCATGTCATTTGCTATTTTCTTTCTGATGTAAACTCTCAAAGTCTGAAGGGTATTGTCTTTTCCTGACACATATGTTGTAAATAATTTTCTGGCTTACATTTTGACTTTTAATTTCATTCACGATGTTTTTAATGAATAATTTTAATTTTTATGAATGCAAGTTAAAATAATTCTTTCATTGTGGTTTCTGACACGTCATGCCAATAAGGGTCTTCTCCTCCAAGAGCACAGAAATATTTGCCAATACTGTCCTTAAAATCGGTCACAGTTTCATTTTTTATATATGCATTTTACTTCAATTGGGGCTTCATTTTACTGAATGCCCTATTTGAAGCAAGTTTCTCAGTTAATTCTTTTCTCAAAGGGCTAAGTATGGTAGATTGCAAACATAAGTGGCCACATAATGCTCTCACCTCCTTTGCCTCCTCTCCCAGGAGGAGATAGCGTCCATCTTTCCACTCCTTAATCTGGGCTTGGCCGTGTGACTTGCACTGGCCAATGGGATATTAACAAGTCTGATGTGCACAGAGGCTGTAGAATGTGCACGGGGGCTTGGTCTCTCTTGCTGCCCTGGAGACCAGCTGCCCCACGAAGGAACCAGAGCCAACCTGCTGCTTCCTGGAGGAAGACAGTCCCTCTGTCCCTCTGTCTCTGCCAACCAGTTAACCTGCTGCTTCCTGGAGGGAGACAGTCCCTCAGTCCCTCTGTCTCTGCCAACCAGTTAACCTGCTGCTTCCTGGAGGAAGACAGTCACTCTGTCTCTGCCAACCCAGTTGACCGCAGACATGCAGGTCTGCTCAGGTAAGACCAGCACAGTCCCTGCCCTGTGAGCCAAACCAAATGGTCCAGCCACAGAATCGTGAGCAAATAAGTGATGCTTAAGTCACTAAGATTTGGGCAAAAGCTGAGCATTTATCCCAATCCCAATACTGTTTGTCCTTCTGTTTATCTGTCTGTCCTGCCCTGCTCATTTAAAATGCCCCCACTGCATCTAGTACATTTTTATAGGATCAGGGATCTACTCTTGGATTAATGTTGTGTTCCCACCTCGAGGCAGCTTTGTAAGCTTCTGAGCACTTCCCAATTCCGGGTGACTTCAGGCGCTGGGAGGCCTGTGCATCAGCTGCTGCTGTCTGTAGCTGACTTCCTTCACCCCTCTGCTGTCCTCAGCTCCTTCACCCCTGGGCCTCAGGAAATCAATGTCATGCTGACATCACTCTAGATCTAAAAGTTGGGTTCTTGGACCAGGTGTGGTGGCTCACACCTGTAATCCCAGCACTTTGGGAGGCCGAGGCGGGTGGATCACAAGGTCAGGAGATCAAGACGATTCTGGCTAACACGGTGAAACCCCGTCTCTACTAAAAATACAAAAAAATTAGCCGGGTGTGGTGGCAGGTGCCTGTAGCCCCAGCTACTTGGGAGGCTGAGGCAGGAGAATGGCTTGAACCTGGGAGGTGGAGCTTGCAGTGAGCCAAGATCACGCCACTGCACTCCAGAATGGGAGAGAGAGCGAGACTTTCTCAAAAAAAAAAAAAAAACTTAGGTTCTTGGATGTTCGGGAAAGGGGGTTATTATCTAGGATCCTTGAAGCGCCCCCAAGGGCATCTTCTCAAAGTTGGATGTGTGCATTTTCCTGAGAGGAAAGCTTTCCCACATTATACAGCTTCTGAAAGGGTTGCTTGACCCACAGATGTGAAGCTGAGGCTGAAGGAGACTGATGTGGTTTCTCCTCAGTTTCTCTGTGCGGCACCAGGTGGCAGCAGAGGTCAGCAAGGCAAACCCGAGCCCAGGGATGCGGGGTGGGGGCAGCTACGTCCTCTCTTGAGCTACAGCAGATTCACTCTGTTCTGTTTCATTGTTGCTTAGTTTGCGTTTTGTTTCTCCAACTTTGTGCCTCATCAGGAAAAGCTTTGGATCACAATTCCCAGTGCTGAAGAAAAGGCCAAACTCTGGAAAAAATTTTGAATATTTTGAGCCAAATGTGAGGACCACAACCTGTGAGAACGGAAAATAAATCCTGGGACCCCAGACTCACTAAGCCAAAGGGAAAAGCCAAGCTGGGAACTGGCTTATGCAAACCTGCTTCCCATCTGGTTCCTAAATAAGATAGCTATTACACAAAGATAAAAAAGCTACATCCCTGCCTCTACCTCCATCACATGTAAAATGTGTATTCAGTGAACGCTGACCAAAGACAGAAGAATGCAACCATTTGCCTCTGATTTACCCACACCCATTTTTTCCACTTCTTCCCCTTTCCCCAACACCCACACTTCTCCCCTTTACTTACTGAGGTCCCCAGACAATCTTTGGGAAAAGCACGGACCACAGTTTTTCCTGTGGTTCTCTGTTCTTTTCTCAGGTGTGTCCTTAACCTTGCAAACAGATTTCTTGAAATGATTGACACTCACCTTGGTTGTGTTCTTTGATCAGCGCCTGTGACGCAGCTTCAGGAGGTCCTGAGAACGTGTGCACAGTTTAGTCGGCAGAAACTTAGGGAAACGTAAGACCACCATCAGTACGTAGGAGTTGTGCATTGGTTTGGTCTGGAAGGAGGAAAATTCAAAGTAATGGGGTTTACAGGTCATAGATAGATTCAAAGATTTTCTGATTCTCAATTGGTTGAAAGAATTATTATCTACAGACCTGCTATCAATAGAAAGGAGAGTCTGGGTTAAGATAAGAGACTGTGCAGACCAAGGTTCTTATTATGTAGATGAAGTTTCATAGGTGGCCACCCTTAGAGACAATAGATGGCAAATGTTTCCTGTTCAGACCCATAGAAGGTGCTAGGCTCTCAGCCAATGTCTTCAGGATCAGAGAAAGACCTGGAAAGGGAAGGGATTCTCTACAGAATGTAAATGTCCCCCACAAGAGACAGCTTGGCAGGGCCATTTCAAAGTATGTCAAAGAAATATATTTTGAGGTAAAATATTGATTTCATGGCCTCTGTCTGTCATGTGATGCTGCACTGGAATCAGGTTGGAATTTGGTATCTTATTGCTAGAGAGCCTTGTCAGTCTTCAGATCTCTGTTTTAATGTTGGTTCTGGTCAGTTCTGCCCAAATTCCAAAGGGAGGAGGGTACAATGAGGCCTGTCCAGCCCCCACTCCTCCTCATCACGGCCTGAACTAGTTCTTCAGGTTTCTCTGGAATCCCTTTGGCCCAGAGGCGGGGTCCACGCGATCGGCTGTGGGGCTTAGAATTTTATTCTTGGTTTACGGCAGCTTTAGGGAGGTGCTCTGAGACCCGAAACTAGACTCGACTTTAACAGACACAGACGACCCTGAAGGCGAGACTGTCTGCTGGTGGGATGCTGGGCGAGTTGCTTAATGTCCCTGAGCTGCTATTTGCTAACTGTGAAGTGGGATCCTGGTCCCTGACAGGCAAGATTTTGGCACACGGAGAGCTGGTGCACGTGGGCGGCTGTCCCCTAAACTCGCGTCCCTTCTTTTTAATCATACCCCACTGGCTGCACCTACACCTCCTCCCAGGCACACACCGAAGAGGATGAGCTCTGGTCCTCGAACCTCTTGTCTGCTCCCACCAGGCAGATTCTCTGTTCCCCGTGCCCAGGCAGCAGTGGTGGACACCAGCATCCCGGAATGGTGTAGAAAGGCTGACCCCATCATAGCCAAAGCCTGGGGTTTCCTGTTTCCCTCCTCCTCCTCCCCACTCCTCCCCCGACCCCTCCCTCCTCCACTTACCCCCATCCCCTGCATAATGGGTTTCTAGCTGCCTCCTCTGCCTGCCCAAACAGGACAGGCAGGAAAAACTGGCTTGGTTCTGAGTAGGCAGTTTCAGGGCCTTAAGGAGAAATTCATCGGCCATTAATCAGGACCTTCCCTCCGGGGAGTTGGCAGCTTCAGGTGTGGTCTCTGGAAACAAGCCCCACAAATTATTATCAGAGAACCTCTGTCTTGGGTGGCAGAGGCAGCCTGGTTGGGGTGGGCACCCCGGCTACGGAAAGGAGCAGCTCCCTCCACTTTCCTTCCTGCTGCATGTGGAGAGGCTCGAGCGGGGCACAGTCCATGACGAGATATTAATCTTGTGTTTGGATTTTTCCTTTTTTTTAATAAAGAAGAAAGATAAGGTATTGTGCTCATCTTGTAAAAATCAAGCACACAGTACATCAGTCTATTCTACAAAGAAACACAACCTAAGCAAAGATTTGTTATAGGCAGTGGCCAGTTACAGAAACAGTAGGACTTGCATTAGGGGTTTTGTATGGGAAAGAAAGGGAGTCAGACACAGACGTGATGGTGGAGACAGGGGCAGGAAGACAGAGCAGCTGACACTTCCAGAAATAGCTGGCCAGAGGCCAGCAGGAGGGAAACACCAACCCGAGGAAAGAGAGACGGGGATTGGGAGAGAAATTCAGAAGAGACTGAGGCACGCACACAGACAGACACACCCACCCACACACAGATACGGATTCAAAGAGACATGCACACTCTGAGTTTCTGAGAGTAAGCCACTGTCAGTTCCTGGGGTGAGCCACCAGCCACATGGACACAATTTCCTCTTTTTGGTAAGTCTTTGACCTGTCTGAACCCCCTACTTAATTACCTATAAAATGAGTCATTGCAAGGATGACAAAGACGCTCTCCTTGACCAAACTCCACTCAGGCTCCTTTGAGCCTTCTCCTTGATGAAGCCTCATCCTTGGCCTGCTGAGCTCAGTGCTAGCAAGGAATGCTGCTAAGGTCCTTAGTGAGAATCTTCCCCACCCTTGCTAACTAACCAAGCTCCTTTCAACAACTTTTCATCACCTCCCTCACCCTGCTCATTGGCTATCCCCACTTGTCTCTGTTGTATTGAGAGTTGAATTCAGTCTCTCTCTCTCCTCTTGCAATAGTTTTTTTTTTTTTTTTTTAAGAGACAGGGCCTTGCTCTGTCAACCAGGCTGGAGTGCAGTAGCACAATCACAGCTCAGAGCAGCCTCAAACTCCTAGGCTCAAAGGATCCTCCCACCTCAGCCTCCTGCGTAGTTGGGACTACAGGTGTATGCCACTGCACCAAATAATTTTTTAAAACATTGTAGAGATGGGGTCCTGCTTTGTTGCCCAGGCTGGTTTTGAAGTCCTGGCTTCAAGTGATCCTCCCACCTGGGCCTCCAAAGGTACTGGGATTACAGGCATGAGCCAACCTATCAGCCTGGTAATCAGCCTGGTAATCACGTAAAACAGACACATAGACCAGTGGAACAGAATAGAGAACCCAGATATAAATCCACACATTTACAGCCAGCTCATCTTCAGCAAAGGCACCAACAACATACGAGCGAAAGGACGGTCTCTTCCATAAGTGGTGCAGGGGAAACTAGATAAAGATATGCAGAAGAATGAAACTAGACCCGTCTCTCTTACCATACACAGAAATCAAATCAGAATGGATTAAAGGTAAAACTGAGACCTGAAAGTATAAAACTACTGGAAGAAAACATTAGGGAAGTGCTCCAGGACATTGTTCTCAGCAAAGACTTTTTCAGTAGGGCCCCAAAAGCACAGGCAACCAAAGCAAAAACAGACAAGTGAAATCACACCAAGCTAAGAACCCTCTGCAGACCAAAGGAAAAAGTCAACAAACTGAAGAGACAACCCACAGAATGGGAGAAAATACTTGCAAGCTACCCACCTGAAAAGGGATTCATAACCAGGAGCTCAAACAATAGCAAACAATTAATCGAATTTTAAAATGGGCAAGAGACCTGAGTAGACATTTCTCAAAAGAAGATGTACAAATGGCCAGCAGGTACATGAAAAAATGCTCAACATCACTAATCATCAGAGAAACGCAAATAAAAAACTGCAATGAGGTCTTCTCTCACCTCAGTTAAAATGGCTTTCGTCAAAAACGCAGGGAATAAGGGATGCTGGCGAGGATGTGGAGAAAGGGGGACCCTCACACACTGTTGTGGGAACGTTGATTAGTACAACCACTATGGAAAACAGATGGAGGCTCCTCAAAAAACCAAAAGGGGCCGGGCACGGTGGCTCACGCCTGTGGTCCCAGCACTTTGGGAGGCCAAAGCAGGGGGATCACAAGGTCAGGAGTTTGAGACCAGCCTGGCCAACATGATGAAACCCCATCTCTACTAAAAATATAAAAAATTAGCCAGGCGTGGTGGTGCGACCCTGTAATCCCAGCTACTTGGGAGACTGAGGCAGGAGAATCACTGGAACACAGGAGGTGGAGATTGCGGTGAGCAGAGAGCGCACCATTGCACTCCAGCCTGGGTGACAGAGCAAGACTCCTCCTTAAAAAATAAATAAATAAATAAAAGTTGGCCGGGCGCGGTGTCTCACACCTGTAATCCCAGCACTTTGGGAGGTGGAGGCGGGCGGATCACAAGGTCAGGAGATCGAGACCATCCTGGCCAACATGGTGAAATCCCGTCTCTACTAAAATACAAAAAATTAGCTGGGCGTGGTGGTGCGCACCTATAAATCCCAGCTACTCGGGAGGCTGAGGCAGGGGAATCGCTTAAACACAGGAACCCGGGAGGCAGAGGTTGCAGTGAGCCAAGATCACACCACTGCACACCAGCCTAGTGACAGAGCAAGACTCCATCTCAAAAAACAAACAAAAAAAAAAAAAACCATCTAAAAGTAAAACTGCTGTATGATCCAGTAATTTCACTAACTGGGCCTATAGTCAAAAGAAACAAAATCAATATATCGTAAAGACATCTGCACTCTCATGTTTACTGCGGGACTACTCACAATCGCCAAAATACGGAATCAGCCTCTGAGTTCATCAGCGGATGATGGATAAACAGAACGTGGTGTGTATACACAGTGGAATATTATTCAGCCATACAGAGGAACGACAGCCTGTTATTTGTACAAGATGGAACTAGGGATCATTATGTTAAGTGAAATAAGCCAAGCACAGAAAGACAAACATTGAATGTTCTCTCCCACCTACTAAAAAAGTAGCTCTCGTGAAGACAGAGGGTAGACGCGTGGTTACCAGAGGTGGGGAAATGTAGCGGGGAGAGGGGGAGAAAGAGAAGTTGATTGAAGGGTACAAATACGTGGTTTGATAGAAGGAATAAGACCTAGTGTTACATAGATCATAGTTGGCAATTGCCTACTGTATATTTCAAAATGGCTAGAAGAGAAGAATCGGAACGGTTCTAGCATAAAGCAAAAACAAATATTTAAGGCGATAGATATTCCAAGTAGGCTGATTTGATTTTCACAATTATATGAATGCATTAAACTATCACATGTACCCTGAAACTATGTACATCTATTATGCATCAGTGAAAAAGAAAAAAGAAACAAGAACTTAGATTTTAAACTCAGCACTCTCCTAGTGGGCTCCTTAAAAATATTTTTGTTTGGGAGGACAAAGTAGGAGGATTCCTTGAGCCCGGGAGCTTGAGGCTGCAGTGAGATAGTGCCACTGCACTCCAGCCTGAGCGACAGAGAGATACACTGGCTCTAAATATAAATAATATAAATATATATTTATGGAATAAATAAATGAATAAAATATCTTTGCATGCTGGTGAGCCCAGGGTACAGTCTGCCCTTGGCAGCTCGGTGACTCAGCCAAGGCGGCTAAACAATCCTCGCCCACTAGACAGTGGAGGTCGCCCTCCAGAGGACCTTATCAGATGTACGTGCAAAGCAGTTTTCAAGACAGTTTTCTATTCAGAGTGTGGTTTAGCCGTTCAGGGAGAGAGATCACAAAGGAAAACCACCTTTAGGAAAGCAGGTGAGAAAGGTGTAAGTTCCCAGGCTTGGGGGTCCTGGCCCAGCCTAGCTGTGGGCAACCCCGGGAAGGCTGAGCCCCGCAGGCTGTATGGACAAAGCATCTCGCTTTCCACACTGGCCACAGGTCTATCCCTGGCAGTAAACAGGTCACAGGTGGGCAGCAGGTCTAACACCTGTAGCGAAAGAACGCAGGAGAGGAACTGAGGCTCTGCTACCAGCAGATGCTCCAAGCACATCCCACGGGGAGGACCATGAACAACTCAGCTGGCCACAACCAGGAAAAGGGTGTCCAGGGCCTCAGAGCTGCTTCAGTGGGGCCATTTCCAGGCTCCCAAGCAGTAATGTGGGTGCCCTCTCAAGAACAGAAGCGGAACAGCCTAACGCTAATGTTTGGGAAGAAGAGAACAGTGATCCCCCTGGTTACCTCCCATCTCTCTCTGCAGTTCTCATGCATCTGTGCACACACGCTCACACACACATATGTCCATCAATCCACTCACAATGTTTGACTTAAAGCAGAAACCATATAAAGGGCAGGATAAGGAGAAAAGACGAAAGGAACTGAAAAGATGCAAACAGCCACTAACACGCCAATTTGCACCTTGCACAGGGCCTGGGAAGTAATGACACGGCTTCTCGTTATGCATCAATGATCTCATGTTTTCATTTTAACAAACACCCTAATACAAAAATAGGCTTTATAGGGAGGAGAGAAAATATGTTTTATAGGGAGGAGAGAAAAGCCATTCTGAAGAGCTGGATAGGTTGCCTTTGGCCCACATGGAGTCAGCCCCCTGCCCACGCCACCAGGCTCACGTTCAGGGCCCTGGCTGGAGAAACCTGAGCTGCAGGACCCGCTGCCCACCAATGCAGAAGAGAAGGCAGTATGCTTTTTGCATTGGGTGGAACAAAAACAGAAGAAATGGGAATTTGGTGAGAAATAAGGGAGGTGGTCCTCAGAATCTGCAGAGCAGTGGCTTCCAAACTCTGTGATGCAACCCCAGCCAGAAAAACACTTTACATCATGGCTGAGGGCACATACATGCACGCACATATGCACAATACAGGAAATCTGGAATACAGAAAGCCCTGGAATTCCTAAATAACATCCTGCCCACATGGGAATTCTGCCCTAGCTGATGGCTTCTCCGAGGCCTAGGCCCAAATCCACACCTGCTGTTTAGCCCAGAGCCAAGCCTAGGAGTGTAGGGTCCCCTATGCATGGGTGTCCAACCCCATCCCTGTCCGGAATAGCACGGGTGCTTCTCGGTGCCACAAATGTTGGTGGCGGCTGGGGAGGAGTGGTTCCTCCAAGGCTCCATGCCTGCCTCCACCACTGAGGCCAGCACGGTGGGACTGGGCTAGGGAGACAGGCAGGCTGGCCTACCCACTGAAGGAGCCAGTCTGCTTCCACCTAGTCAGCAGCTCCAGGGAGCGCATCTCCCTCCAGGAAGGGCAGGAGGCCAAGAGGAGCTGGAAAGGTGGGCATTTGATATCATGAGGTATAAAGAGAGCTCCTAGGGGTCCCAGACATCAACTAATAAAAGCACCTCAGAAGTTCATAGATGGGGAAATAGCTGTGTGAATATACCGTGTTATCCAAGTCATGCGGAGAGGAAGGGCTCGAACCCATGGCTACTACTCCCCACCCCCGTCCTCCTCCTCCTCTTTCCATTAAGTTTTTGTGATTATGAAAGTAGCTTACATTTGGTGTAGAAAATATGGAACATATGGAAAAATTTAAAAAGACTCAGGCAAAGGGTCATGTGTCACTTATGACCAGAGGCCGTTGCTCTTTATTAACAGATGGAAACGTTTTCTTCCAAATTGTGCTGCACGTTTTTGGCGAGAGCATGGGGCTGTGCGGCGTCCCCTCCCTGGCGCCCACCTGTGCCCTGCACACTGGCCTGCACTGTGGTGATCTCGCTTGGCCCCCACCTGATTCCCGACATACAGCAGAGGAACCTTAGGCTCAGGTGGAACAGCCTCAACTGATTCTGTCCCTGAACTTCCGTACACAGCCCTGGAGTCGTCTTAGAGCCATGATTTATTTAACTGTTCTTTCATTTTACAGAACATAAAATGTATTGTTTCCAACTTTTTTCCTATGGTAAATAATACTAAAGTAAATATCTCTGTGCATGAATCTTTTTGTATATGTTGGAATATCCTTAAGATAAGGCCCCAGAACTAAAAGTACCCTGTCAAAAGGTGAGCATTTCCGGTTCCCCTGCTGTGCTTTGCTGCGTTGTTCTCTCCTGCTGCAACGTTCTCACTCCACAATCCTGGGGCAGGGAGGGGAGGCCCAGCTGAGTTTGGATCATAATCCTGAAAGACACAATCCCAAGCACCATAATGTGGAATGTTGAAATCCCTAAAGATCAAAATCCCTCAAGTCTAAAATCCCTGATATTTCAGATGACCACAGCTACAGGGCTAGGTGCACACAATTAGTAACCGTAGCGATATACGTGTACACGTTTCTCTTTTGACTTATTTCTTTATGGTCTGTCTTCTTATAACTGCTACACCCATGCCGCCGTCGTTAGTTACCTCAGTGTTTATGCAAAAATACCTGTTATCATTGCCTATTTTATTGTGTAAAGTGGCCTATGAAATGTTCTGTTGTGTTTTTATGTTTCTCAAATACATACCTTTTAAAAATGTAAATAAATAACATCGACATTATTTTTTCCAGATTTATACTTTTGGGATTTTGATCTTTGGGATTTCAGGATGAGGTATTCGGAGCTGTGTCTTTGGGGATGATGACTGGCTCCTGTGCCGTCCCACCCATCTTTGCGGCATGGGACCTTGGCATCCCCACCTCGGCCCTGGCTCTACCTGACCTCACAATGGACCAGGCCAACTCAGTCAATGTGGAGGCAGCATCAGGTAGACCTGGGGCTGAAACTCAACACTGGTGTTCACCTTGACCTAGCTTCTCTGAGCCTCAAGTTCCTCATCTGGACACCAGTGGGGTTAGGGGCTGAGGCACATCAGCACTAAGCAGGAGAGCTCATCGTTGCCATGCATCAGCTGTGGCTCTAGAGCCGAGACGCTCCCAGCCGTGTAGGCTTCCCAGCAGTGCAGGCCCCTCTCTAGAGCTGAGATGCTCCCGGCAGTGCAGGCCCCTCTCTAGAGCCGAGACGCTCCCAGCCGTGTAGGCCCCTCTAGAGCCAAGACGCTGCAGGGTTAATCAGGGCTGCCCAACAGTCCATCCCCTCTTCTCTCTCTGAAATCAAGAAACATTCCAAATTCCAAAATGCAACTGGTCCCAAGTGTTTCAGTTAAGGGACTGTGGCCCTGTGTAATGCCAGGCAGTGACAAGGACTGTGACTGGGAGCCATCGTAAGTCGATGCTGAATGCCAAAGGGAGGAAAGGAGGCAGCGGTCCTTAAAGGGCCCACTGAGCTCAGATCCCACGCCTGAGCCTCCGCCTCTCCGTGCAGTCCCGGAGATGGCACACAGCCTTCTGCACGAACCGCAATGAGCTGGGCTCCCTCATCACCGCTAGGAGCACTCTGAGAAAGCAGGGCCCTTCCACGGGGTTCTGCAGGAGAACGGCGAAGGGTGCTGTTCAACCTGCTCAGTCAGTTGCTAGGTGAGGAGAATTTAGTATTCATAAGTGAAAATTTCTAAGTTACTGGAATTAATTATGGGGTTTGATTCTACATCATCCAGAAAAGCCTGGATGCCACACAGACTCAATGCTGAAAGCTCCCAGTGCACCTGCACAAACACACCCACACATGCACCCATATCATATACACACGTGCAAACATGTTCACATTCACACTCACTCCTACATACTCGGATCATATACACATTTGTGCACACGTGTTCATATTCACACTCCTACACACCCAGATCATACACACATACACACACTTGTGCATACACATTCATGCTCACTCCCACACACCCAGATCATATACACACTCGTGCACACATGCTCACATTCACAATCACTCATACCCAGATCATACACACACTTATGCACACATTCACACTCACTCATACATACACAGATCATATACATACTTGTGCATACGTGTTCGTATTCACACTCCTACACACCCAGATCATACACACATACACACACTTGTGCATACACATTCATGCTCACTCCTACACACCCAGATCATATATACACTCGTGCACACATGTTCACATTCATGCTCACTCATACACACCGATTGTACACTCGTGCACACATTCACACTCATACACACCCAAATCATATATTCATGCACACATGTTCACATTCATGCACACATGTTCACATTCATGCTCACTCATACACACCCAGATCATATATACACTCGTGCACACATTCACACTCATACACACCCAAATCATACTCACATTCATGCACACATGTTCACTCATGCTCACTCATACACACCCAGATCATATATACACTCGTGCACACATGTTCACATTCACTCATACACAGCCCAAAATATACACATTAATGCACACAATACATATTCATACTTGCACACACCCAAATCATATACCCACTCACACACACATGTTCACATTCACACTCATACACACTCAGATCATAAATACATATGTACACATTCACATTCATACCCCCAAATCATACGCACACTAGTGTATACATGTACACACTCACACACACAAATCATACACACTCATACACACAGTCATACACACTCACACATACCCCCAAATCATATACACACTCATGCACACCGTCACACATATAATCCAAACACACAAAAATATATGCATGCGCTCATTCATACACAATCTCACACATACATATACAGCCATGTGGGATTTTTCTGCCATTTTCAGAAATGTAAATTTTGTAGTTCCTGCTTTTTAAAGACTATAAATTATTTTTAATTTACCTTCATTCTCAATTTTGTTTGTTATAAGTAGCTTGATTGTCATACAGCATCCAACGACGCATATTTCCTTTATTTTTTTTGAGATGGAGTCTTGCTCTGTCACCCAGGCTGGAGTGCAGGGGCGCGATCTCGGCTCACTGCAACCTCTGCCTCCCGGGTTCAAGTGATTCTCCTGCCTCAGCCTCCCGAGTAGCTGGGATTACAGATGCCCATCACCACGCCCAGCTAATTTTTGTATTCTTAGTAGAGACGGGGTTTCACCATGTTGGCTAGGCTGGTCTTGAACTCCTGACCTCATGATCCACCTGCCTCGGCCTCCCAAAGTGCTGGGATTACAGGTGCGAGCCACCGTGCTCTGCATATTTTCATGTTAAAAATGTTTTATTTAAAAAAAAAAAAAAGATGTCCAGAAGAGTTGCAAAGACAGTACTGCAACTTCCCACAGACCCGTTCACCAGCTTCCTCTCACTTGAGCATCTTACACAGCAATGATGCACGTGTGGAAACTGCGACACTCACACGGGTGCCATCTCAGCAGCTCACGGTGTGGAAACTGCGACACTCACACGGGTGCCATCTCAGCAGCTCACGGTGTGGAAACTGCGACACTCACGTGGGTGCCATCTCAGCAGCTCACGGTGTGGAAACTGCGACACTCACACGGGTGCCATCTCAGCAGCTCACGGTGTGGAAACTGCGACACTCACGTGGGTGCCATCTCAGCAGCTCACGGTGTAGAAACTGCGACACTCCCATGGGTGCCATCTCAGCAGCTCACGGTGTGGAAACTGCGACACTCACACGGGTGCCATCTCAGCAGCTCACGGTGTGGAAACTGCGACACTCACACGGGTGCCATCTCAGCAGCTCACGGTGTAGAAACTGCGACACTCCCATGGGTGCCATCTCAGCAGCTCACGGTGTGGAAACTGCGACACTCACACGGGTGCCATCTCAGCAGCTCACGGTGTGGAAACTGCGACACTCACACGGGTGCCATCTCAGCAGCTCACGGTGTGGAAACTGCGACACTCACGCGGGTGCCATCTCAGCAGCTCACGGTGTGGAAACTGCGACACTCACGCGGGTGCCATCTCAGCAGCTCACGGTGTGGAAACTGCGACACTCCCATGGGTGCCATCTCAGCAGCTCACGGTGTGGAAACTGCGACACTCACACGGGTGCCATCTCAGCAGCTCACGGTGTGGAAACTGCGACACTCACACGGGTGCCATCTCAGCAGCTCACGGTGTGGAAACTGCGACACTCACGCGGGTGCCATCTCAGCAGCTCACGGTGTGGAAACTGCGACACTCACGCGGGTGCCATCTCAGCAGCTCACGGTGTGGAAACTGCGACACTCACGCGGGTGCCATCTCAGCAGCTCACGGTGTGGAAACTGCGACACTCACGCGGGTGCCATCTCAGCAGCTCACGGTGTGGAAACTGCGACACTCACGCGGGTGCCATCTCAGCAGCTCACGGTGTGGAAACTGCGACACTCACGCGGGTGCCATCTCAGCAGCTCACGGTGTGGAAACTGCGACACTCACGCGGGTGCCGTCTCAGCAGCTCACGGTGTGGAAACTGCGACACTCACGCGGGTGCCGTCTCAGCAGCTCACGGTGTGGAAACTGCGACACTCACGCGGGTGCCGTCTCAGCAGCTCACGGTGTGGAAACTGCGACACTCACGCGGGTGCCGTCTCAGCAGCTCACGGTGTGGAAACTGCGACACTCACGCGGGTGCCGTCTCAGCAGCTCACGGTGTGGAAACTGCGACACTCACGCGGGTGCCGTCTCAGCAGCTCACGTCCAGGACCCCAGGCTGCACTGGCCCTCACGCCTCCTTAGTCCCCTGCACCTGTGACCCTTTCCTGGCCTGTCTTCGTTTCACTGCCTTGACAGCTTTGCAGAGTGCTGCTCAGGTATTCTGCAAGATGCCCCTCAATTGGTGTGTGTGTGATGTTCTCTCTGATTACACTGGAACTGTGCGTTTGCGTAAGAACACGGCAGAGGTGGAGCGCTCTTCTCATCACGTGCTCTCAGGGGCCACGATGTCAACATGCCTCATCACTGGTGGTCTGGACCTTGATCACACGGCCAAGGTGAGGCCTGCCAGGTCTCCCCACGGGAGAGTGACTGTTTTCCTCTCCATGTCCTGCTGGTTAAGAGTGAGTCATGAAGTCCAGCATGAGCTCCAACTCCCACAGGAAGGAGCATCAAAGAATTTGGGCACCATGGTAATTACTGAACATTTAGGGGAGACACTTTGACAGTATACAAATATCTTCTTTCTCCTTAAACTTTGCACAGGAATTTTAGCATTCCTCAGGGGAGCTTGCCTGCAGCACTGATGGTGATTTTCTTTTTTTTCTTTTCTTTTCTTTCTTTCTTTCTTTTTTTTGAGACAGAGTTTTGCTCTTATTGCCCAGGCTGGAGTGCAGTGGCACAATCTCAGCTCACTGCAACCTCCCGGGTTCAAGCGATTCTCCTGCCTCAGCCTCCCAAGTAGCTGAGATTACAGGCATGTGTCACCAGGCCCAGCTAATTTTGTATTTTTTTGTAGAGACAGGGTTTCACAATGTTGGCTAGGCTGGTCTCGAACTCCTGACCTCAGGAGATCCACCTGCCTCAGCCTCCCGAAGTGTTGAGATTACAGGCACGAGCCACTGTGCCCAGCCTGATGGTGATTTTCCCTATTTACTCCACATTTCTTGTTTGGAATTTGTTCCAAGAAAGGCCTGTCCCTTTCAGTTTTTTGTTTTGTTTTGTTTTGTTTTGTTTTTGAGACAGAGTCTTGCTCTGTCACCCCAGCTGGAGTGCATTGGCGTGATCTTGGCTCACTGCAAGCTCCACCTCCCGGGCTCACACCATTCTCCTGCCTCAGCCTCCCGAGTAGCTGGGACTACAGGCGCTCGCCACCTCGCCCGGCTACCCTTTCAGTTTTAATTTATTCAATAATTTATTTATATGCTTACAAATCCATGGACATTCATTTTATTCTTTGGGGCATAATCCGATTTGTGTGTGTGTGTGTGTGTATGTCTGTGTGAGTGTGTGTGCACTCAAATCATTGTAGCTGTGGCCACTGGGAGCTCTTACATTTTGGGTTCCATGCCCTTTTGAAATGCCCACAGCTTTTTAAAAATTTTATTTTTGAGCATTTTCTTACTTCCTGGGACTACAAGATGCTCCAGGTTCATCTTGTATTTTCTCTCCCACATCCCAATTATCAGCCATTTCTCCAGGGAGACTTGGCTCCTTTTATTGAAGATGAAATTTAGAAACTAACATCTGGGCATGGAATGTGCTTGCTGCTACTGGGGTGTCCCCTCTCAAAGGACAAACCCAGGATCTACAGATGTGTGTGCTAAGCCATGTATGCACACGCACGTGTGTGTGTATATATTTAACCTATCTGTATATATGTATTATGTAAACATGAGTTCCTGCTGGCATATCTGACTATAACTGACCACCTCAGGGTCCATTCTGATCTGTATATATGTATCATGTAAACACGACTTCCTACTGGCATATCTGACTGTAACCGACCACCTCAGGGTCCATTCTGATCTGTATATATGTATCATGTAAACATGATTTCCTACTGGCATATCTGACTATAACTGACCACCTCAGGGTTCATTCCGATCTGTATATAAGTATCATGTAAACACGAGTTCCTGCTGGCATATCTGACTGTAACCGACCACCTCAGGGTCCATTCTGATCTGTATATATGTATCATGTAAACACGAGTTCCTGCTGGCATATCTGACTATAACCGACCACCTCAGGGTCCATTCTGATCTGTATATATGTATCATGTAAACATGAGTTCCTACTGGCATATCTGACTATAACTGACCACCTCAGGGTCCATTCTGATCTGTATGTATGTATCATGTAAACACGAGTTCCTACTGGCATATCTGACTATAACTGACCACCTCAGGGTCCATTCCGATCTGTATATAAGTATCATGTAAACACGAGTTCCTGCTGGCATATCTGACTGTAACCGACCACCTCAGGGTCCATTCTGATCTGTATATATGTATCATGTAAACACGAGTTCCTGCTGGCATATCTGACTATAACTGACCACCTCAGGGTCCATTCTGATCTGTATATATGTATAATATATATTATATATGGACCTCAGGGTCCATTCTGATCTGCATATATGTATAATATATATTATATATGGACCTCAGGGTCCATTCTGATCTGTATATATGTATCATGTAAACATGAGTTCCTGCTGGCATATCTGTCTATAACCGACCACCTTAGGGTCCATTCTGATCTGTATATATGTATAATATATATTATATATGGTCCTCAGGGTCCATTCTGATCTGTATATATGTATCATGTAAACATGAGTTCCTGCTGGCATATCTGTCTATAACCGACCACCTTAGGGTCCATTCTGATCTGTATATATGTATAATATATATTATATATGGACCTCAGGGTCCATTCTGATCTGCATATATGTATAATATATATTATATATGGTCCTCAGGGTCCATTCTGATCTGTATATATGTATCATGTAAACATGAGTTCCTGCTGGCATATCTGTCTATAACCGACCACCTTAGGGTCCATTCTGATCTGTATATATGTATAATATATATTATATATGGACCTCAGGGTCCCCGCTGGCTTTTCCATGACTTCCTTATCCAGCTGTGAGAACCCTGACTCTTACTACTGTATTGACTTATTTGTGAAACCTTAGTATATATAAAAGTAGTTTCAAAGTTGCTAACATGTATTGCTGTGGGAAACAATTTTACCAATTGGAGTTTAGTGCTTAGATATGCAGAGTTATTTGATTCTTTCCAGAATCTAATCAAAACACTGTTTTTGGACTTACCCAGGTCAGCTCCTTTCTGCCCACTCTTTCAGCGCAGGCGTGTCCTGCTGTGGAACACACTCTGGGATTCCTGTGTGGGTCTGTACCCGTCCTGTACCCGTCAGGACCCCCGGGCCCTGACTCTTGATGTTGTTCTTGCTCCTCTTGTTGATCTTGTTGTTCCCACAGTGAGGTCCAGTCCTGTGGGGTTTGACAAGCACAGCATCACGTACCCAACTCTGTAGAGCCACACAGAAGACTTTCATCCCTCAAAAATGGCCCCAGTTCGGCCCCTCGGTAGTAAACTCCTCTCCCCTCACTCACCCACTGGCAAATACTGATCTGTTTCTGTCCCGATAATTGTGTCTTTCCATATACACAAAAGTGAAGTCTGAGGGTGAGGCCCATGGCCTTGGGAAGCAGGCATAAGTTGGGGGGGGTGGGCACACAGGGTCACCGCGGAAGAAGATCCATGCTGCCCACACAGCCACATGTGGGACAGGGCAGGACCAGCCCCCCAAGCTGTGAACCTCGCCCGAGGCTATGCCCCACTCTGGAGCAGAACGGCCTCTGCAGAGCTTCCACCATGCACATGGGGAGTGCACAGCCAGGCCAGGAAGGGGAGGGCCCCTGTCTGCAGAGACAGGCCCATCCTGGACAGGAGGGAACAGCATTCCAGGCAGATCCGCCACTGGCTGCTGTTCCCAGAGTGGCTGTGTCCCCTCTGCAGTGTCCATGCCCAGCCGGCCTCCCCTGCCTCCCTCTGCAGCTGTCCACGCCCAGCCAGCCTCCCTGCCTCCCTCTGCAGCTGTCGCTCTCCACCCTCCTCTCCTTTCTTCTCTCCATCCCCCCTCCATCCCCGTCTCCTTTCTCCTCTCCATCCCCCTCTCCATCCCCCTCTCCATCTCCCTCTCCTTTCTCCTCTCTAGCCCCCTCTCCTTTCTCCTCTCTATCCCCCTCTCCTTTCTCCCTCTCCATCCCCCTCTCCTTTCTCCTCTCCATCCCCCTCTCCTTTCTCCCTCTCCATCCCCCTCTCCTTTCTTCATGGCTCTTTCCCTTTCCTGCCACAACTGAACTGAGTGCAGGTGATTTTCGCTGCCTGCTGGCTTTATTCAGCTTCAACTTCTTGACTTTAAAGGTGGATGCAGGAAATGTGTGTCTTGTGTCACACATGGAAATGTTGCTGAAATAAGTTACTCTTCACTGATGTGGCCTCGAGGGTTTTCTGCTGGGTTTCTGGACCTTGTAAGCAAAGCAGACCCTCACCCGACTGACCTCCTGGCTGTGACGATGTGTGTTTCTATCCCACACAGGGAGGGTGTTTATGGTCTGAAGTGAGGCCTCTCATTAACTCCTCAAGAGTCGATTGAAGCACAATTTATTAGAGCCCAGAAATCATGGCAATCCATTCCCACAAGCACACAGCACAGCTAAACCAGCTCCAAGGAGGGTCCGAGTGTCCACAACTGCACCCCAGGCCCATTGTGCCTGCCGCTGGAGAGTGTGGGGCCCCTTGGCCCCTAAAGGTTTGCTGAGAAGTCACTGACATGAGACAGATGGATTAATAGGAGAAACGGTATGCAAATTTATGTGATGTGTACATATAAGAACCTTTAGAACGAAGACCCAACGATGGGGGAAATTGTCCATTTTTATGTTTAGGTTTAATAACGTATGAACAGTCCTCTAAAAAAAGGATTGGACACAAAGGGCTTGATCTAATGTGAATAGACTGAGTGGGAACCCAGCAAGGTCTGTCTAGATTTGTCTTCGTCTCTGAGCATTTTCTTCTCTGGACGTGGGGCAGGGCCCTCTCTGGAATGACAGTCTCATGACCTACAGTCAAACAAGGGATGTTGGATCATTTCTCTCTAGTCAGCTCTTATATAGAAAGGTAGACGGAAAACTGAGTAATATTTTTAGGTTTTCTGACCAGCTTTGGGGAGAAGGGGTTCTGATTTCTGTGACCGGCCTTGGGGAAAAAGAGAGTCTGGTTTCTACAGCGCCTTCGGGGAGAATGAGACTGAGAGACAGGAGGGCAGGAGAAGGTCAGAGACAACTTTTGCTTCTGAGGCTGCTGCTGAGGACTTCATTTTGGGGCGTTGTTTTCTGAGCCCCAACAGAAGGAAGGAAGCCTCTCCCTCCAGGGGTCAGTCCTGGGCCTCAAGGGCACCCTCGAAGCAGGCAGCTCAGCTCACAGAGCTCCCCTCGGCCATGTCCTCCACCTGCCCTTCCTTGGTCCAGCACCTCACCTGCACACACCTGTCTGGAGAGTCCCCAAGGTTGGAGAGCTGCTGAGTCAGCTGGGCCGAGCACACAGCGCAACACTTCCTTGTGCCTCCTAACCAGGATGGGCGACACCAGCCCATTTTATGGATGGGACAAGAAGAAGCTGGGCTGACAAGCCCAACATAGTGGAGCCAGCAACAGGCTTTTACTCTCCTCTCTGTCTCTTTGTCTCTCTCCCCCACCGCACCTCCATCCGCTCCATTCTCCTCTCTGCACATCAGCTTCCCAGACAATATTCTTGGTTTCTGTGGCTCCCAAACTGAAGCTTCCCCACAGTGGCTGCAACTATCCAGACCTGGGGCCACACTTGGGCCTCCAGGCAGGGGATCTAGTGATCACATTCTGGTCATGTCATCAGGCCAACTTGGCTGAGCTCTGCCCTCCTTATCTCTCTTCTCCCCTCGAGCCCTCACCCTGGTTACCTGCACAAGTAAACTTGCCCCTAACTGACCCCCTTTTCTCCCTCCATGTCCCTCAATACAACACTAACTCTGGCAAAAAAGACCAGCCTGGCCAGGTGCGGTGGCTCACGCCTGTAATCCCAGCACTTTGGGAGGCCGAGGCGGGCAGATCACAAGGTCAGGACATCAAGACCATCCTGGCTAACACGGTGAAACCCCGTCTCTACTAAAAATACAAAAAATTAGCCAGGCATGGTGGCAGGCACCTGTAGTCCCAGCTACGCGCGAGGCTGAGGCAGGAGAATGGCGTGAACCCGGGAGGCGGTGCTTGCAGTGAGCCGAGATCGCGCCACTGCACTCCAGCCTGGGCGACAGCGAGACTCCGTCTCAAAAAAAAAAAAAAAAAAGACCAGCCTGAAGCAGAGATTGGGTCCCAGCCTGGCTCTGCCTGGCCCTCTGCTCCCGCTTCACCTCACAGACAGAACGCTGCCCTGTGGAGGGGTCCCCGGACCCTTTGGTGGGTGCCAAGCGGGTATGGAGGCCAAGGCCTGAGTGGTGAGAATAGTCCAGGGGCTAGCGCTGCGTGGGGAGGGCGAGCTCAGAGAGCAGGGGAGCCTGACCCTGCAGGTCAAGACTTCTGTCTGAGAGAAATGAAAAGCTGGGGATTTTAAGCAAAGGAATGCCTTGACCCAACCCTCACAACTTACATAATAATTAACTTAAAAGGAATCATAAGTTTAAACAGAAAATCTATATAAGAGGTTTACAGTTTAATTTAAAAACTATAATAGGTTTATAGTTTTTAAATTAAAATTTTAAATATAGTGGTTTATAAAACTTTGAGAAGAAAACATAAAATCCCTATGAATGCTGCAAAAGTCACTGTTGAGAGAATGAAAACACAAGACATAGAGTTGGAGAAAATATTTGTGAATCTCATATCTGGCAAAGGAATTGTATCTAGAATACATAAAGAACTCTCAAAATCCAACAGTAAAAACACCAAATAATCCAGTTACAAACCGGGGAAGGACTTGAACAGATGCGTCACCAAGCAAGGGATATGGATGGGAAATAAGCTTCCATCAGCCACCAGGGAGATGCAAATTACAGCCACTAGGAAACGCTTTTCATTCATTCCGGGATGGCTGAAATGTAAGCACGGAAAATGCTGGGTGCCCGCAAGAACGCGGAGCAGCAGGCACTCATTCCCGATTAGCGGGAGCGCAAAGCGAAGGGGCGGCCTGTGGTGTTTTCCTGTAAAGTTGGGCACACGCTTCCCACATGACTCAGCAATTGCACTTCTGGGTATGTACCCGAGAGAAACAAAAGCTTATGTTCACACAAAAACCTACAACGCAAATGCACAAACAGCTCTATCCAACAACCATCCCACCCTGGAAGCAACCCAAACACGCTTCAGCGGCACAGGCGCCTCCACGCGGAACCCCACGCGGCGCTCAGCACGGACGAGGAGGGAGCCGCGCACGCGCGGTCGGCTCGGCGAGGAGCCGGTCTCCAGGTGCCGCCAGCTGCGGGATTTCCTCTGCAAAAGACAAACCACAGGGAGAGCTGCCGGGGCTGGGTCGGGGAGCGTGACTGTGAACGGAGTTCTGGGGGTGATGTAACTGTTCTGTATCCACAGTGTTGCTACATGAATCTATAAATGTGTTAAACTCATAGAACTGTACACCAAAAAATAGCAGTTTTGCTGAATGTTAATTCAGAAATGAAATTAAAATTTTAAATTAACAACAAGCAACTTTACAAGAGGAAAAAAAAAAACCTCATTTCCTCCCCACAAAGCCACCTCATGAGCCTGGGTGGTGCCTAGCCAGTCCTGCTGCTGAACCTGCTCTGACCTGGCCTAAGGGTAGGACTCGAGGCTGGGAGCCAAGGGCCAACCACAGGACAGGCAGCAAGACCCGCTTCGCTGGTCTGTCACACACACCGCACCAAGTCGGTGTTCAGGATAAACCGGGGCACACTCTGAGCTGGGCCTGTCTCCGGCTTCAACCAAAAAGCCTGAGCTCTGGCAGGTGAAGGACCAGACGTTTCTGTGGGGCTATGGACTTGTCTGGGAGGCAGCCACCTCTAAGCCACCCAGGATGGTTTCGGTTGTGTTTGGATGGAGTTCTGAGTTTTGCCAGTTAAAATTCCCCCTTCAGGAGCTCTCTATGGGGTTAAAGTGCAAGATTTGGGGTAGAAAAATGACAAGTCAGAGGACTGGAAGGAACATTATGGACTGTCCTCCCTTCTGCCTGAAGAGATGGGGAGACTCTCCCAGGCCATGTGGAAGACCTCACAGGGGGACCAACAGCTGCCTTTCAGCCTGGCCGAGGGAAGAGCCCCTGACTCAGCCTCCGCAGGAGGAGGTGGGCTGGAACCAAGTTTCCCTGCATCAATCCAGGCAGGCAGCCCCGAACAGTGCACTCCAACATGGGATAGTGAGCCAGCTTGGGGGACAGCAGCTGTCTAAACAGGAGCATGCAACCCCCGTGCTGAGAGTTCCCCAGGGTCACGACTACCCAGAGTCAGAGCTGCCCAGGGTCACAGCTACTCGAGGTCAGAGCTGCCCCAGATCAGGGCTGCCCAAGGTCAGAGCTGTCCTGGGTCAGAGCTGCCCATGGTCAGAGCTGTCCTGGGCATCAGAGGCGCAGAGGTGGGAAGGGCTGGCTTCAGGTGGGAGTTATAGGTGGGAGTTATGCTACAAAGGGTCTTGAAGGCCAGTGTTGTTGACAGGGTAGGGTGCCTGGGTAATAGCAGAGGAAGAAAAAGGCTTAGAGTTGGAGGGAAAAACATGAACTGGAGTTGGGGGAGTGCACCTGCCCCCTCAGAGACCACAAAGCCTCCCCAGGGCTGGGCTGTGGCTGCTGGAGCTCCCAGACCATGCCAAGTGTCAGAGCCTGGGCAAGACCCTCTGGGGCAGCCCGGAACCACCAGAGGTCAGAGCTGGAGGAGGCTCAGCTGGGGCCCTTGCACCAGGCAGGAGGCCCAGAAAAGAGACAGTGCTCTTGAACTGCAGGAAGGCAGCTCCGTAGAGAGGCAAATCTCACTCCAGCTCGGGCAATACTCAACTACACGGACGTGGATGCTCTCAAGGGGGCTTTGGGGCATGTGGTGTCGGCATTGGACCCAAATATGGGCTCAAAGCTTTCCTTTACCATATTCTTTCTACATTTTTCTTGCAGATTGAGAAGGGATAGGGAGGAGTTTAGGGAAGTGAGTGAAGCAGGAAGATGTTGACCAAGGGAAGTTAATTCCATAAAGAGGAGGATGAGGGGACAGAAAGGCAGGAGGAAGAGGAGGAGGAGAATCTTCGCACAGGGGGTGTCAGCTGATGGGGGCAGCATGGGCGCCCATGGAGCCCTTTAGGGGTCGTTGGTTGTGTGCAGAGAGGCCACAGCAGGCGAGGCAGGCAGTGTCTACCACCCCCAAGGAGACACCAAGAATCCCTGTCCTTAGGAAGTCCCCTCTTCCTCCTCTTGAGTCTCATCTCGGAAAGAGGGAGCTGTCAGTCAGAGCTCAGGCCAAACACTGGGGCTAATAGGGGTGAGAGCAGGGACCTGTGGGGTCCTCACCGCTGTCCCCTTCTCACCTTTCTGGCTCAGGCCAGGCTCAGCCCCCAGTGGTCTATTGTCTTTCTATCTGTCATCTATCTACCTACCCACCTATCTAACCATGCCATCTATTTCATCTATTTTTATCTATCAACCATCTATCATATATCTACCTACCTACCTTTCCATCTATCATCTAGTTCATCTATTGCTATCTATTATCTAATTTGCCTATCAAGTATCTATCCATCATCTATTTCTATCATCTATCCATCACCTGTTACCTATCACCCATATACCACCTATCCCTATCTATCATCTATCTAGCCAGCAATCCACCCATCATCTACTTCATCTATTTCTACCCGTCTCCCACCCCCTCTCCCCACCCCTCACCAGAGAGTATGCAAGCACGACCACGTCAACAGGCCCTGAAGTCACAGGTTCACACAGCACGTTTTCTGCTCCATCACGTGTATGGGGCAGGGGGCAGCAGAGCTGGGGGAGAAGAGATAAAGGAATTATGTCAAACAGGGACTGTCTTGTCTGCCCCAAGGGTCTTTCCTCATCTATAAAGCAGATTTTTCTTGTAGAGCACCACGAGAGCTGTGAAATGGGAGTGAGGGGTGAGGCAGGCCATGGGGCCTTCCACAAGGTGGGCAAGATGGTTGTCTCTGGGGAACCAGCTGGCCAGAGGGGGCCAAGTGCCAACCGGTCTGGATGAGAGCAAAGCAGCAGGCAGAAGGTTACAGAGGCAAGTGTCGGCACCAGGGGTGAACGCTGGGATTTTTCAAATCCAAGAGACATTTCAAGTAAGGGGAAAACCTCCCCCAGGGCTGGGCTGAGAAGCTAGTCGGGTGATGGGATGAGTGAGAATGACAAGTTGCGTCTGATTGTCCTGGAGACCTGGCTGAGAACTCTGTGTGAGTCTCTTAGGTAGACGGTTACACTTGTTTTCAGTGAGAGTCAGTTTCCATAGAGAACTGCATGGTAGTCACCAAGAACCGAGGGGGCCCAGGAATGCCCCAGCAGTGGTCTGGAAGGGCTTGTGGGGCTGGGCAGGAGGTGGGTGGGGACCGGGTGCAGGCAGAGGGAATTCAAGGGTACAGAGGCAGAGAGATGGTGCCGCCTGGGGAACGCAGCGCACCCAGGACAGAACAGGCCTGAGAGCCACACACACTCACAGCGGCTTCCCAGAGTGTTTGTTTTCTATGCACCAAGATGCTCCCCCAAACCCTCTGCAGCCTGTTCCCTGCCTTGGGGGTCCTGAGGGCCACCCTTCGGGTATGGGGTTCAGGTCGCTATTCCTTTCTCGATGCCCCTGGTGTGTCCATGGGATGAGCTGACTGGCCCACCTAGTGGGAGCCTGTGCACCACGGTTCGTGTGGCCCAGGGGAGGAGGTTTTGCCTTTCCTCGACCCCACTTTATGAAAGGAAAGCCTGAACCCCTGGGCCAGCTAGGGGAGTGAGCTAGGGTGGAGGGCAGTGCTGGTCATGGAGGGCAGTGTCCAGCCCTCTGCTCACCAGCTCCAAGAGTGATTCTGGAAACGGAGCCCAGTCCCTGGGCCCAAACCTTTGCCTCTGCCCTTCTTTCTCTCTACAAATTAGAGGCCACATCCCTGGCCACTGAAGCCTTGTACCCTGACCCACTGTCTGAACCTGATGGAGTCTAAATGCAGTGAGCGGGTGCCAGCCTTCCCTGGAGCTCTGCAGAGGCAAGGAGGGGGTGGATGGAAAGACGGGAGTCCCTCCCCTTAGGTGAGGGGGGGAACTAGGGCCCGGGGAGATGCCCAGGCCTGGCGGCCGGCGCACGCGGGTTCTCTGTGGCCAGCAGGCGGCGCTGCAGGAGAGGAGATGCCCAGGCCAGGCGGCCGGCGCACGTGGGTTCTCTGTGGCCAGCAGGCGGCGCTGCAGGAGAGGAGATGCCCAGGCCAGGCGGCCGGCGCACGCGGGTTCTCTGTGGCCAGCAGGCGGCGCTGCAGGAGAGGAGATGCCCAGGCCTGGCGGCCGGCACACGCGGGTTCTCTGTGGCCAGCAGGCGGCGCTGCAGGAGAGGAGATGCCCAGGCCAGGCGGCCGGCGCACGCGGGTTCTCTGTGGCCAGCAGGCGGCGCTGCAGGAGAGGAGATGCCCAGGCCAGGCGGCCGGCGCACGCGGGTTCTCTGTGGCCAGCAGGCGGCGCTGCAGGAGAGGAGATGCCCAGGCCTGGCGGCCGGCGCACGCGGGTTCTCTGTGGCCAGCAGGCGGCGCTGCAGGAGAGGAGATGCCCAGGCCTGGCGGCCGGCGCACGTGGGTTCTCTGTGGCCAGCAGACGGCGCTGCAGGAGAGCTCAGGAGCAGGGGCCTGGGCCTGCTCCGGGGGAATCCGCCCACCCCACCGCGGCGGCCTCTCCTGAGGTTCCCTAGTGGCCGCGAAGGGTGGGCTCAGGGTGAAGGGTCAGGCCACACCAGTGGGTGCGGGGATGGCTGCGGCCACGGGAGGGCGTCCAGGGAGGAGGCCGGAGCTCAGGCCCACTCTGCACACCCAGCCCGCCACCTCCCCCGGCTCTCTCTTCCTTCGTGCACATTCTGGGGCTCATGCTTCTGCTGTGGTCCCATTTAGCCAACCTGGCCAGCCTTTCATGCCTGCTTCATGGGTGAGACGTGGAGGCCAGGTCAGCCGCAGAGCCCGGGGCACACGCCGCAGCCAGCACAGCAGCAGGTGGGCGTCTGCGGCCGGGGCCAGCGCAGGGCCCACTGGGCCTCGGAGGGGCCTCCCTGCCGACTCTGCCCCCGTCCTGTGGCCGTAAGTCCACCCAGAGCGCTCGATCTTCCGTCCACCAGGCCAGGGATGCACGCAGAGTAAGGATGTGTGTGTCTAGGCATGTGGGGGTGTGGGTGTGACGGGGTGTGTGCTGTGTGAGAACGTGTGTGTAGTGTTCACATGTCCTCTGTGCGTGAGTCCCTGTGTGTGATGTTGTGTTCTCGGTGTGAGTTCATGAGTGTGACGGGGCGTGTGCTGTGTGAGAACGTGTGTGTAGTGTCCACATGTCCTCTGTGCGTGAGTCCCTGTGTGTGATGTTGTGTTCTTGGTGTGAGTTCATGGGTGTGACGGGGTGTGCTGTGTGAGAACGTGTGTGTAGTGTTCACATGTCCTCTGTGCGTGAGTCCCTGTGTGTGATGTTGTGTTCTCGGTGTGAGTTCATGGGTGTGACGGGGCGTGTGCTGTGTGAGAACATGTGTGTAGTGTTCATATGTTCTCAGTGTGAGTTCATGTGTGTGACGGGGTGTGCTGTGTGAGAACCCGTGTGCAGTGAGATCGTCCCCAAAGGTAGTTCAAAGCTGGGGCCCTTTCATTTGCCAGGATCTAACCCAGCTACTCAGGAGGCTGAGGCAGGAGGATCACTTTAGGCCAGGATTTTGAGAGCAGCCTGGACAATATAGTGAGACCCTGTCTCTACAAAAAAATTTTAAAAATTAGCCGAATGTGGTGGGGCATGCCTGTAGTCCCAGCTACTCCGGAGGCTGAGGTGGGAGGATTGCTTGAGCCCAGGAGTTTGAGGTTATAGTGAGTAGTGATGGCATCCCTGCCCTCTATCCTGGACGACAGACCAAGAGTCCAGCCCTAAAAAAAAAATTTAATTAAAAATTTTTAAATCTTTAAAAATTAAAAATCTTAAATTTTTCTTTAAGATTTATAAGAGGACTCAGTAAAGGCTGTGCTGGCAATAACATCAAACTACTGAATTCTTTGAGAACTCCTTGGAGATTATTATTTTGCATGACATAACTAAATATCTTAATGATTGACTTAATTACTTAGATGTCAGTCTGTATGTTTTTGGTGTCGTAAGTACAAAGCTTAGAACTGTTACTTTTAGGGCCAGGAGCAGTGGCTAACGCCTGTAATCACAACACTTTGGGAGGCTCAGTCAGGCGGATCACCTGAGGTCAGGAGTTTGAAACCAGCCTGCCCAACATGGTGAAACCCCGTCTCTACTAAAAATACAAAAATTAGCCAGGCATGGTGGCAGGCACCTGTAATCCCAGCTACTTGGGAGGCTGAGGCAGGAGAATCTCTTGAACCCGGGAGGTGGAGCTTGCAGCGAGCCGAGATTGTGCCATTGCACTCCAGACTGGGCGACCAGAGCGAAACTCCGTCTCAAAAAAGAAAAAAAAAATTACTTTTAAAACCAAGTACTAGCTCATCTCTAAGTAATACTATTTAAGTAGGCAAAAGCCCCTGGAGGTCGCCTGAACTTTTTATACTCTTAGCTGAGGGGACAGAAGAGAAATGATATGACATTTACAGAAACCCCTATGTGGCCTGGCCTCATTGGAATTTTTTCTGTTAGTTAAATAAAGACCATTTGTTTCTATTGATTAAAAACAAAATTATTCATATAATGGGTTCAAGAAAACAAATTATTTCCCTAATGGACAGTGTAGGTCAGGACTAGAAGCAAACAAGGATCTTCTATCCCTCACACATCTCAACACTCAAGCAAAAACTCAAAGAAAACAATGATACTGATGGCCACGTCATGCACCGTGCTCACACAAGGATGCCAAGAGGCTTCATATGTGTTCCTTACCTGGACCCTTTTCACTGGATCAGAAACATGGATGTCTTAGTCTGATAGGCATCCTCTGCTAATGCATTTTAAATGATTGAATCAATAATTTGATGGGCCACTTTTTATAAGATGCTACGATACCCTATGAAGCACTATTAAAATATTCATTTTTCTGCACACCAGATGTGGCCCAATTGTTAATAACCAATATTGGTTCTCTGGCAAAAGGAGCAAAGGCAGCCCTCTAAGATATTCCTCACTGATATTCCATTTTTCAGTGGGTAGGGAGACATGAGTAGGAAGCAAATCTGGGTCCCTGCACCCACGATCTTGGTGCCATCAAAGTGCCGCTGCTGGCAGGTTCCTGGGCACCATCTGAGACCAACCCCACTGTGAGGTTGAAGGAGGCTGATCAGAACAGTGGTCCTCCACCTCCTCCCTGACACCTTGGGAAGATGACTTCCCAAGTCATCTTCTATTTATGTGGTCTTATTCCCATAACTGGGGCCAGATGATCCCACCCTGGGAAGACTGGGGAAATACCCAGAATGCTGACCTGAAAGTCCAATTTTCCCAATGTTTCTACTGTTCCCATGTCAAAAGTCTTTGGGCAAAATCTCCCAGGCTTGAGAGATTTCAATCCAGCCTGGATCACCTCTCCACTTCCTCCATCCCAGAGTGAAATTAAAAATCCCATCTGCTGTCAATGAGGAGTCCCTTCAGGCCCTAAAGTTTAGGAAGAGGAATCCCTATCTTGTCTTCTTCACTGTCATCCCAGCACATCAGTTACTTAAAACAACCCAATTTCAAGAACTGATAGACCTTCATTTCTGGACACACCAAAAACAAGCAAATTCCAGAGGATCAGCTTCAGGGTGGCAGAATGGAAGGAGTAAAAGCCAACCACGGGGCCAGGTGCAGTGGCTCACGCCTGTAATCCCAGCACTTTGGGAGGCTGAGGTGGGCAGGTCACCTGAGGTCAGGAGTTCAAGACCAGCCTGGTCAACATGGTGAAACCCCGTCTCTATTAAAAACACAAAATATTAGCCAGGCATGGTGGCGGGCGCTGGTAGTCCCAGCTACTCGGGAGGCTGAGGCTGGAGAATCACTTGAACCCAGGAGGCGGAGATTGTGGTGAGCCAAGATTGCACCACTGCACTCCAGCCTGGGTGGCGAGTGAAACTCCATCTGAAATAACAACAACAAAAAGCCAACCATGGGATCTGTGGCACAGCTCTCACTTCACCATTAGCTCAGCCAGGACTGGCAAGGGAGTGCCGACTGGAGAATCTTATCCTCTGTTCCTTAGCTGTTTAGATGTATAAAGCCTGAGGGCTTGGCACCTAATTAGGGTTTCAGAGCTTTGTTTTTCTCTCATCTAATTACATTTGCCCTGTGGGGAAGAGCCTCTGTCCAGGAGGCATTGCTCTCTGAAAATCTGTCTCAGCCCAACAACAGGTGCGAGAAGGTGAGCAGCTCCTCTCCCCACCAATGCGGTGAGATGCTGAGCCAGGCCCTGGCTTCTTCTTCCTCCTCTCCTTTCATTATCTCTAACTCCAGTGTCAGCCCTCAAGCAGTCCCCTGCTTTGTCACCCCTGGCAAGGTGGGGAATGTTCTCTTAACCTGCAGCTTTCTCCTTCGGGAACAAAGCGCAGCCTCTTAGCAGCTAGCAATCAACTCCTGTGCTCGGGGCCTTCCAGCCAGACCTTCTGCAGTGCACCCTGGTAGGGGGTAAATTATCCTGAGCTTGGAAAATGTGACTGAAATCACCTCCGACAGAGGGAAATGGGTTTTCATAAAAGACGTTTCCTCACCTTCGGTTGCAACTCAATTCAACTGACCATTTCCCACCCTGGATCTCAAAAGAAATTTCTGCTTTGCTTCTGGGTATGAGCCTGGGTGATAATGAAAGGTACTTAGGAAGCCAGGCCTATTGAAGCAGCGTAGCCCTCAGAGGGGCATGGCTGACTTGGCTAAAAGTAGGACAGGGTGTGGGGTTGAGGAATCCATGGGGACTCAGGGCATCCTGTCGCAGACACAGGAGCTGACCCAGCCACAGGGTCACAGGACAGCCTGTGTCACCACAATCTCTGTGCAGAGTCCAGAGTTCACAAATGAGATAAATGGACATTTGCTGACTGGGGTAACTCAGCATCTATTCACCCTATTTCTGGGAAAAGCCTCAATTTACATGTGGGAATGGACCACCCCCTTATTGTTATAGGAGTTATTAAGAAATTATTTTAGGCAGATAGAGAGGAAAAGAGGTCCTTGGGAAGTTTTTGTTTCTTTTAAAGCAGATCCAGAAACCTTTCTTGTCTAACAGGAGAGCGCCAGCTCTAAGAGCCACTGGCAAGCTTTGATATGCAAACGCAGGCCACTGGAAACTGAGTCCACCCAAACATGGAGATTCCAGGTTTCTTCCTTGCCCCAACAGGTGGCTGGCAACATGGCCGCCCCCACATATCCCCACGTGTGTAGAACATCATGGCGCCCTGCATTTGCATTCTTAAAAGGCTAGACTGTGAGGGCCAGCTTTTTCGCAGGCTATGTGAATGACCTGCCTGGTCAAACCAATCCTCTGAGCCCTATGCAAGCCAGCACCGCCTCCTCCAGCCTCCTCATATAACTAGCTGATTACACCACACACACGCCCTCCCCCCACATCCCTTCTCCCCACCGGGGTTTTCTCTCTGTTCAAATCCCCTCTCCCTCTGTCTCTGTACTGGGGAGCTGTTTTCTTCTTCCTTCCTTCTTTCTTGTATATTAAACTTTTCGCTCCTTAAAACCACTCCAGGTGTGTCTGTGTCATTTTATCCAAGTGTGTGCTAGACCAAGAACCCTGGTGCTCCTCCAGTCATCTGAGCCATATCATTATCTCATTCTGTTTTTGATGGCACTAACCACCAGCGTACCCTGCTCCATCAGAACACTCATCCTCCTGAGCTCTGTGAATGGCTCAGGATGCACAAGTGAGAGAAAAATGTAGCCAAGTGAGGAGGCAGAGAGAAACTGCCTCCTGGTAACACAGTGTGCGCCCCTGGATCAAGCCATGCCTGAAGGCAGTTTATTCTGAACTTTTACAATAAGTGCTCTTTTTGTTTAAATCACTTTGGATTGGGTTTTTGTTCACTTGTAAGCAAAAGCACACTATGATAAAAGGGGATACAAGACAAGTATCACAAATCCAGAAATGAGAAGGGCCCAACCCCAGAGCCCAGGCCAGTCAGGGAAGTGAAGAAACAGACAGCATCTGAGATGCCTATGCCCAGTATCCAGGGGCTAGGTCCATGGCCTTTGAGCCTTAAGATGCAGGAGATCCCTGTGGGGAACTTCACAACAGCGTAGATTCCCACTCATTCCCACAGCCAATTCTCATCCTTCAGTCTGGAAGGGGAACCAGAGGTTTGGTTTTTAACCAATATCCAGGCAATTTGGAAGCAGATAACACAGAGAATACTTTGAGAAACACTTCCCTACACTCTGAGCTGGGAGTTAAAGGACAGGGTTCCAGTCTCTGCGGTGAGGCAGTGGCAAGAGCTCCGTGGGCGGGAAGAATATTAGGCCAGAGCTTAGAACAGGACTGCAGAAGCAAGCATGGAATGGAAGCACATCTGGTGATCTGTGACATACAACGAGCCTGCAGATCACAGGCAATGATTTTTGGAAACTCATCACACAGTAGTTTGAAGCAGCAGGAACGATTTCATCCAAAGTGCCATGAGAACACTTCCGAGTCTACAAATGCTTTCATAGGTCAATCTAAGCTGTTCCTCCCAACCAACCTGTCTGGCAATTAGAAATTAGGAAATTAAAACTCAGAGTGTCTAAATAGCATGCACAAAGCCACACAGCTCACTGGTTCAGTAGCCTAGACCTGGGTCCCAGTCTGTCTGACACCAAAACCCACACTTTTCAAATAATTCTCCCTTCCACCGGGGGAAGGGCTGGGTCTCAGGAAAGGTCTAAGGGACACACAGTGCGGGGATCAGTGAGACCCTACTCAGCAGGCCCAGATGAGGGAAGGGGGTGCTCCATCTGACTGCACAGGAAGGCAAGGCCATTTTAACTTTGCAGCATCTTCAACTCATCTGGCTCAAGAAATCCCAGCCCAGCTTGGGGATGGAGAGTGGAGGAACACAGGGGCACCCTTGCAAGTGAAGACTAAGCTCTGATTTTTTTTTTTATCTTACCCAAATTCCCTATCTAAAGGGTCTGGGGAGTGATGTCCTACAAACCATAAATTCTCATCAGATGGATTTTATTTAACCCTATATATTGTGACTTACTTTCCAAACTGACTCTGTCATAACATTATGAGACAAGGAAGAAAATCAAAATATTTTACCCCAAAACATAGGCTTTTTTGTCCATATCTTGAAATGGCCCTGCAAAGCTGTCCTTTGTGGGGGAAAATTTGTATCTGTAAAGAATCTCTATTAACATAGCTAGATATTTTTCTTCCAGGCCCTCCCAATCCTAAAGAGATTAACTGAAAGTCTAGCACTTTGTTTTTTTTTGTTTGAGACGGAGTCTCACTCTGTCGCCCAGGCTGGAGTGCAGTGACATGATCTCGGCTCACTGCAACCTCTGCCTCCCGGGTTCAAGCGATTCTCCTGCTTCAGCCTCCTGAGTAGCTGGGACTACAGACGCCCACCACCACACACAGCTAATTTTTATATTTTTAGTAGAAATGAGGTTTCACCACATTGGCCAGGATGGTCTCAAACTCCTGCCCTTGTGATCCACACCCACCTGGGCCTCCCAAAGTGCTGGGATTACAGGCGTGAGCCACCGTGCCTGGCCAAGTCTAGCACCTTTTAAAGATCTGAATAGGAAACATTTGCCATCTATTGTCTCTGAGGACAGCCTCTATAAGACTTCAAAAGAACCTTGGTCTCCACCATCTTTTATCTTAACTTGAAAATTCCCTTTCTATGGATCCCAGGTCTTTAGACAAACTCACTGAAATTTACCTATAGCCTGGAAGCGCCCCTCTCCTCCTGCTTTGGTCCCACCTTTCTGGACCAAACCAGTGTATTTCTTAAATGTACTTGATCGATGTCTCATGCCTTTCTAAAATGCATAAAACCAAGCTGTACCCCGACCACCTTGGACACATGTTCTCAGGACCTCCTGAGGGCTATGGCAAGGGCCGTGGTCACTCATATTTGGCTCAGAATACATCTCTTCAAATATTTTACTGAGTTTGACTCTTTTCGTCTACAGGAGCAATGGAAATGATTTTCTTTGATCACAGTGTCAGCTCCTGACATTGGGTTGCACCCATCTGTGCTGCGGACTCTTCCCTCGGAATGAGAGAGGGAGATGGCTCCCAGTGTGGTTGGAAGTCACCCCACCCCACAACAACACAGTGCAACAGGCCCCGGCTTCACGCCCATTCAGTTCAGGACAAGTTTTTTGGAGCATCTACTCTGGGCCAGGCCCGTAGGATACTAAGATGAAATAGAGACAGTTCCTGCCTTTGAAGGGTGGTGATTTACCGGTGGGGAGAAAGGAAGAGGCCCATGAAAAGTCGTGTCTGTAGAAGGTAAGAAGGGGCACAACCGCCATGGCAGGGGAGTCACAAAGGAGAAGCATTCAGCCTGCCGAGAGGTCCCAGGACTTTCCTGGAGGATCAGTCCCCAAACTGACTGTGACAGGGAGCTAGACCCAGATAACAGCAGAGGCCCAGAATAAGAAAGAGTCTGTGAGTGGGCAGAATTCCCTCCAGGGTCATGAGGGGAGCTGACTTCTGATTAGGGCATTTCATCCTTCTCTGAAATGCAGCTGAGAACTGGTCAGCCTCACTCCCTTGCTGAGACCAATAGCAATCCCTGATGATCTTGCCACAGGTCCAGCAGGTGCCCCATCCACACTTTGTCCCCAGCCCCTACCAGGAAGCTCCAAACACCTACCTGAGGGGCCAACTCTGATTCCCAAGGAGGTGACACCTCCTGCCCCTTGTTGATAGAACATTGATAAGGAAATAGGACTGAGTTTTAAGCTTCTTTCCATGTCAAATATTTAAAGGCAATATAATGTTCAAGTTTAAATAATATTTCATGTGTAATTAAACAATCCCTTATTGTTAAATAGATGGGTTCCAATTTTGAACTGCTATAATCTGTGTATGTGTCCTTGATTAAATCCTTAAGAGAAATCCCTAGAAACATTATCTTAGGGTCAAATGGCTTGGATATTCTGTAAACTGCTGATAATTATGGGAAATTGCCTTCCAGGAAGGTTATAACAATTTGCCTGATCCCCAGCAGCAACAGACTTTACAAAGTACTCAGTATCTAATATTTAACTTTGATAAAGATAAGCTTCTCCCTTCTTTTTCACTTAAAATGCTCTGTCCCACCTCACTTTTCAGTGTCTCTTCACACTGACTAGACGGTTGGCTAATACTTCAGAGCTTGCAGAGCATCTTTATACACTTTTAATCCTCCTAACAACCGTGAGAGATGGAGCTTACTATTATCATCCGTGTTTGCAAATGAGGCCCTGAGAAGTTGAGTGATTTCTGTAAGGTCTCAGAGCCAATAGACACTGGTAATGAAATAAAATGCAAGGCCCCTTATCTTTGGAGCCCAGTGTTCCTTCCACATAGGTGGTTCTCCACCCAGGCTGCCCAGGAGAATGTGGAATCTCCAGCAGTTCTGACTTAACTGGCCTGGTGTGGATGTCTGTGATGGGTGAACATTCCCAGACCCTTTTAAGAACGTGATAGAAGTGGTAGACCCACTTCCCAGAAAAAGGGACGCACAACAAAATAATTGTCCTGAGTGGGTCTGACAGAATCAAGTGAACCCTTTAAATCTGGATCTAGAGGTCAGAGACTGAGAATGTCAGAGATGCAAAAGAGATTCAGTGCAAGAGAAATCCTCCTACTGGTTTTGAAGATAGATGTTGGCACCCTGTGTCAACAACCTGAGAGTGGCCTTGAGTTGCTGGGAGCACCCCAGACTGACAAACAGCAAGAAGAATATGGGGACCTCAGTCCTACAACCACAGGAACTGAATTCTACTGACAACCAGTGAGCTTGCAAAGAGGACTTGGAGCCCCAGATGAGAAGCAACCCTGGCTACCCCGATCTCAACCCTGTGAGATCCTAAACAGACAATCCAGCCATGCAACACCCAAACTTCTGACCTATAGAAACCCTGAGATAATAAATGGGCATTGCTCTAAATCACCAAGTTTGTGGTAATTTGTTACACAGCCATAGGAAGTGAATCGACCCGATGTATCTGAGCACCTGCTAGGTTATCATTAAGATTACTCTTCAAAGGTAAAAATTATTTTTCAAAATGTTTCTGCCCTACCTTCCGTGAGCATCTGGTGATGGATGGACACACACACATAAAGGTAGACTGTGTTTAGGTGGGCATGGTGGTGCATACCTGTGGTCCCAGCTACTCAGGAGGCTGAAAGAGGAGGATCACTAGGGCCCAGGAGTTCAAGGCTGCAGTGAAGCTGTGATTGAGCCATTGCACTCAAACTTGGGCAACAGAGCAAGACACCAGCTCTAAAAAAAAAAAAAACTGCTGAATGCTATAAATAAGATTGGAACTTGCTCTGCTTTTACAAGACCACTGTTAGATGACCACTGACAAGAAGACTGTGAGCTGGTCTCTGTAGGAAGCAGGGGCCTGGGCAGCTCTGGGGGCACAGGAGACAGGCCTGGGGCAGAGACACCTCAGGGCATTTTCAGAAGACAGCCAAAGCAGCCATTCCAGCTTGTCCAGGTAGATGGCAAGTCAATGGGAAATGATTCCAGGAAGGTAGGGAAAGATGGAATTCTGGAGAGCATTGGACCTCAGATTGGGAGTCTGAACGTCTTTCCATATGCATCAGGAAGCCATGGAAAATTCACAGACTGGAGTGACTTTGGCAAAGGTGGGATTTAGGAAGACTGATCAAGGCACGGGATAGACCCATGGATGAATAGCCTTCTGGTCAGTTTGTCCCTGTGGTTTTCTATGCTGAGGAGGTGGGAATGTGCTGGGTGAGTCAGCTGTGGATTTGTGTCCCTGCCTCACCTCACTCCCCACTGTCGTGGATTTGTCGGCTCATCTTTAGTGCGCTCCCTGAAGAAACACTCAGTTCACTCAGCTTGTTTCTAACCCAAAACACTCTGCAGGGCCCATCCTCTTGTCTTTGCCTGGGGATGCCAGACCATGCACTGCGGATGCCTTCCGCCTTAGCACTAGTGGGCTAAATGATGACTGCCTTGCTGTCCCAACACCACCCATCAAAGGGAAGACATCACCACTGGGGTCAGTACAGCCCAAGTGACAAACTCTATTCCCTCCTTTCTCTCCATCCCATGGACCCTTGATTTGCTAAGTGGGAAGACACTTTCTCGTGGTTCAACATCACCTAATCTGCACAATTGCTTCTGCAGGCTAATTCAGCCAGAAACCCTGGATATCTGGGCAGAAGCGCATGGAACTTTTAGAAGGATTACTACTGCTTTTAATATTCCCTCTGTCTTGAGTCAGACCACCACCAAGATCAGAGTTAATATTATATATCAAAGTCCTGCCATCAGCCTGTAGGATTTATTACTAGCATCTCTCCACTTCAGAGCTATGGGAACCAATGGAATTGGATCTAAGGTTTTGAGTTGGCTCTTGTGCATGGAAATTTGATGCAAACACTCTAATTTATTGGCCCTAAAGGGCTTTGGCAAGTCATTTTGGCAAGTCACCCACTGAACACAGAGTGAAATTTGCAG
Organism: Homo sapiens; assembly: GCF_000001405.40. Taxonomy (NCBI): domain Eukaryota; kingdom Metazoa; phylum Chordata; class Mammalia; order Primates; family Hominidae; genus Homo; species Homo sapiens. The sequence goes on from NC_000001.11 coordinate 392,674, forward strand.
AGGTTTCCCCTCTGCTCGAACAGTGGTGTTCTCAGCACGTACAGGGAAGTTCTGCCCCCTTCCAGCCAGGTGAGCTAGGGGATTTTGCCTACCCTTTCTGAACCTCAGTTTTCTCATCCATAAGATGGGAATAAAAACATGGTCCTGGATGTATGTCTCATGCTAGGCACTGAGGCAGGGTACTCTCTCCCCTGAATGCCTTGCTATTGATGCATCACCAGTAAGGCATGCATTCATTGCACAGAAACTTAGGCATATGCCTACCAACATGCCCGATGTTGTGTGAGGCCTGACCGCTGTGAGGATGGACTTCCATCTGTGTGAATGGATTCATGAGACCAGCCCTCACTCTCAGGACTGAGGGCATTGGTGCTCTAACTTGTCTGAATATGGAATCAGCTGGAGAGATTCTGTAAATTACCAGTCCCATTCCACCCCTGAGATCCTGATTTCATCGGTCTTATTTCATTGCAGCCTGGTCGTTGGGATGTTTAAAACTCTCCCTAGGAATTCCAATGTGCAGCCAAGTTTGCAACTACACGGAGCCAGGTTAGTGGTGCGGTCAGCATGGTGATAATTGGGCTCATGAACCCATGACCTCAGCTTCATCAGGAGACCCACTGTAAGTACTGGCCCAACAGGAGGGAAAGGAGCTGAGTCAGATGATACCACTGAGGGGCATGAGCAAATGAAAAAACAGGAACCCAGCCATGAAGCTCGGCCTGAGTGTTGGAGATGCCACTATAGAGACCCTGGTCTTAGCAATCCAGACTTTTCCCCAGCAGAAGGGAGAGGCGAAGATTATCCTGGCCGGGACTGTGTAAGGCCTTTGAAGGTTGACCATCCATCTCACCCTGCTGTTTCCCTCCTTCCCTGCAGAACAGCCGTTCACCTGAATGTTCCAGGCTTTTGGTTAACAACCCCTGGTCTTTTGTACCCATTCACACTCAAAATCAGGGGGAATTCCTTGAAATGGTTAAAATGCAAAAGTGAAATTTAGAAGCCCTATGAATGAAACAACAATCCAACAAAAAATTCCCAACACTTTAAGCAAATGCTTTTCTGGCAGAGCCTTCAAATTGCTACTGTCCCACTATCTTCTGGAATCGTGTGTGTGTGTGTGTGTGTGTGTGTAGAGCAACAGGTGAAGCAGCAACCATAAGGTAGCCTACTTCAGGTCTGGCACCTCTTTTCACTGCTGTCATGCCCTCTTCACTGAGATCCTGACTTAAATATGTACACATGTGAATGCTGATTTCTTAGCATGAATTTTAACTCAGCTGTTGCTCGAGCATCAATGATTCCCAATTCCCATCAGAGTGAATGGCCCCTTCCTGGTCTCTGCAGTCAGCCCTCTGAAGCTGCTCAGCTGAACCCCTGGGAGCTGAGGGGCCAACTCTGACTCCCAAGAAGGTGACCTCTATCTCCCTTCCAGGGCCAGAGATGCAACATCACACACACACTGCCTTTGGAATGTGTGATTAAGCTTTTGGCTGCCAGTAGCCTGACAGCTTCCAGCAGCTTTGTCTGCCACCATGTCCACTTCTCTGTGCCAAAGTCACTGAAACAAAGGGACTGCAGATGTTGCTGTGAAGTCTTTCCGATTCTCCAGGACAGAGGAAAGCACTACATTGGGTGGGGGGTGGAGTGGGGATGATGGACTGTGGGAAACCTGCATGATGGGCATGAAACAATAAAAATGAAGCTGATTTTCTTCATAGCACTTGCTGCCATAGAGATACATTTGTTTCTGTGACCCTCTCACTGGAATGTAAACTCCCTGAAAGCAAGGACTTGGCTTATTGCTGTATCCCAAGAGCCTGACACAGTGCCTGGCACATGGTAGACACTCAATAGATGTTTGAGATAGGGAGGGAGGGAGGCAGAAAGGGAGGGAGGCAGAAAGGGAGGGAAGGAAGGAGCAAGGAAGGAAGGAAGGAAGGAAGGGAGGGAGGGAGGGAGGGAGGGAGGGACATAGACAGTGGATTTGGATAGACTTGGCTTTAATCCTTTCTGTAGCAATTCTAGCTGTGTAAAAATACGCGAGTGAGTCATTTATTTTCTTTGAGTCTCTTTCTTCATCATAGTACCAATTAACAGGGCTGGGGTAGAGAGTGATACATGTAAGGTTGCTAGCACTATTGGCAATCAAAACATGAGAGCTACTTATTTACATTGTGAGTATTGCTACTACTGATATTATCATTTCTGGACATTACTAATGATGTGAGCACTGGCCTTTCATCAGAGATTACTGGATAAGGAACATTTACCGTCTTGTCTCTGCTCATTGTGCTAAAGTTCCTTCTTTATCCAACAACACTTTCTCCTGTTTTCCCAATTTAGTGAAAGGATTAATCTTTTCACTCTCATTCTTCCTGTTTTGTTTCCCATAATATGGGTCCCATCCTTCCTCATGAGATGGGTATCTCAGTAATTGAGTCCACCCCACCCACATATTTGACCCTGATCCAAGACCCTCATTTCTGGGAATGAACCCCAGATCAGCCATGATAGAGGATAGCCTGGTTTTATCTTTTTGCTTCTGAGCAGGATCCAACAATTCTCATAAAATTTTCCCCAGCCTGTTCAGTGGAATTGTCAAAGCATCATTTTCAAAAAGTGAAAACATGATTCTTATATAAGTCTATAGGGAGTGTGTATAAAGATCTGTTTACTTCACAAAAGAAAGAACCAGAGGATGGTAAAGCTGTTTGAAAAGAGAATTGGAAGGAGAAAGATTTGGATAGACCATCAGAAACAGCATGCTGACATAAGTTTGCTAATTTGGAAACCTCACTCATTAATGTCCTGTGGAGCAATAAAATCTTTTTACAGGACAAAAATCATTTGTATCTCTACCAGACAAAAATTAACATGTAACTTGGCAGAGTCTGGGCCCTAATCAATAGTAAATAGTAAGTCAAACAAAAGTACCTTCCCTTAGAGAGTTAAAAAAAGCTTTGGTGGTTTGTTAGGCAACCTTCCAGTATGGCATTAGAAAGACGTGCAGTCATCCTATTTTTACTTCCAAGTTTGGGATACTTTTTTTTTTGAGATGGAATTTTGCTCTTGTTGGCCAGGCTGGAATGCAGTGGCATGATCTCACCTCACTGCAACCTCCACCTCCCTGGTCCAAGCAATTCTCCTGCCTCAGCCTTCCCAGCAGCTGGGATTACAGGTACACACCACCACGCCTGGCTAATTTTTGTATTTTTTAATAGACACAGGATTTTACCACGTTGGCCAGGCTGGTCTCAAACTCCTGACCTCAAGTGATCCGCCCACCTTGGCCTCTCAAAGTGCTGTGATTACAGGCATGAGCCACCATGCCTGGCCAAGTTCAGGATACATTTTTAAAACAAAATTGGTCCCCCTCAGCCTGGTGGATGTCCCTGCAGAATTTAAAAATACTATTATGTTCTAGATGTCTGATGCTGTCAATTCTCAATGGCCAGAAGAGGGCATCTGCCCAGATCAGTTCAGGTGTCTATCCCTGGTCTGATCGCCTGTGCCCAGGGTAGCGTATCAGGTACACGGCGCTGTTTCTTCCCTGCTATTGGTAGAACAGCTTTTCCAAGAAGGGGATAGGCTGGAATGGAAGAAAAGAGTCCAAAGAGGAAGGAACCACAACAGAAAGAGAATTGCTTTCCTTTCAGTTGTGGGAGCACCAGCTTAATGCCTCTTTTCCACATTTGCCCAGCAGAGGAAATGTTTGGGCCGAATGACAGAAAACCTAGGGTAGCCTTTTTGGTGCCTCCTGACAATCACAGAAGCAGGCTGGGATCCTACCCAGGTATGGCAGAGCAAGTGAGCCCACCTAGGTGGGAATCCTTACCCTCCTAATCCTGCAGGTTCACTTCACAATCTTGTGTAGACCTTAAACCGTTGTTTAGACAGTTATATGAAATGGGGTATTTTCTAGAGAAAAGGACAGTGAATGGGGATATGGGGATTTTTTTTTTTTTTTTTTGAGACAGAGTCTCACTCTGTCGCCTAGGCTGGAGTACAGCCATGCTCCCAAGCCATGCTTCCTGTATGGCCTGTGGAACATAGAGTCAATTAAACATCTTTCTTTTTTTTTTTTTTTTTTTTTTTTTTTTGAGATGGAGTCTCGCTCTGTCACTCAGGCTGGAGTGCAGTGGTGTGATCTTGGCTCAATGCAACCTCCACCTCCAGGGTTCAAGCAATCCTCCTGCCTCAGCCTCCTGAGTAGCTAGGATTACAGGTGTGTGTGTGTGTGTGTGTGTGTGTGTGTGTGTGTGTGTAGTAGACACGGGGTTTCACCATGTTGGCCAGGCTGGTCTCTAACTCCCGACCTCGTGGTCTGCCCACCTCGGCCTCCCAAAGTGCTAGGATTATAGGCATGAGCCACCGCGCCCGGCCCACCTCTTTTCTTTATAAGTTACCCGGTTTCAGGTAGTTCTTCATAGCAATGCAGACTAATACAACTACTTTGAGTCTCACCTTTCCTTATTTGGAAAAATATTTCCATTGAAGTGTTATGGTGAAGATTCAATACAATTAAATGATATAACATATGTAAAGGGCTTAGCAATAACCCAATGGCTAATAAGCAGCCAAGGAGTGGTAGCTCTCAGTATAGTCAGCCTCTAAGAAGAGAGCAAATGTTTATTTTCAAGAAGAATTATGCAGAAAGGGCCACTTTCAGTCTACCATCCCCCCAGATTCCTTGAAGGCAGGATGATGTGAGCAGCAAGGGAAGAAAGGGGAGTGGGCACGAAATACTACAGAACCTGCAGGGAACGAAGTCCCTCTGTCTGTGTGTGCCTATATCAATAACTTAAACTTACACATTCATGAGATGCACTGTGTTTATTAGGATGTACATGTGTCCCTAAGAATCTGAGAGCTCCTGAGAGACAGAGACGGTGTCTTACTCATCTGCTCTCCCCAGGTCCTCGCTTACTACCTGGCACTTATTGGGTAATAAATGTCTGTTGAATGCATGGAAAAAGAAAGGTAGGAAAGGTGTGAAGGAGAAGATGGAGGTCATGACCAGTAGAAATCTCAGCTGTTCTGCCTGGGCTCCATGTCATCTCCCTGCTATTAGGCCCATCAGAATGTAAGCACAAATGCCTAGAGAATGACAAGCTTCTTTGGGACTCTGCTGACTAGACATGACATAAGACTGGACAGCTCCTGGGGAACTTCCAAGAGCTGGCTCCAGGCAGTGACTAATCCTAGGAGCTGCTGGCTTGGCTGCCTCTCTCCCTTCCTTATTTCCAAGATTGGTCACCTCCTGCTCTGAAATAGCAATTGATTTTCAGACATGAGTTGATAGAACCATGATTTTCTAATACTGTTCCAAAGAGGCTAAAGTACCTCTGAGGAGCAGTGCAGGCTAGGATCAAACTCTCCCTACCTTCCACTCCACTCCCTACCTTGCCCCTCCACCTCTGCCCACTTTCTATTTCTTCAGGCACAGCAGCTTCTACCTTATGGATTACAAATTCTGATCATCCATCTATGGTTGCATTAGGAAAAGAGTACTGCTACTTTCATTTTCTTTTCTAACCACTGCCCTAGAAGAATAACACCTCACATTCTCTGGTAGACTGAAGCCTGCAGCTGCAAGGATGCTCAGAAAACCAGACTTCTATTCATTGGCCACTTGCTGCACGCTCTGTCCCTCGATCCTTGCAACGTACCTTTGAGGTAGACACAAAAATCCCCATTTACAAGTGAGAAAACCAAGGCAAAAGAGGTTCAGTTTATTTCAGGCTCAAATGTGCTTCCAATAGCTTATAGCCTCTACAGCTAGTGTTTGAACCCAGGTCTGAAACAAATAGGATTGACAAGGGGAGGGAAAAGAGGAACAGAAATTCTTTTCTATAAGACAATTGTTTATGCAGCCAGGATTTCTTAAAATCCAGTTTGTGCTTACGGACATAATCTTTGAATTTGCTTTGTTTCTCGATGAATAACTTGGAAGCTATTCAAATAACTTGGAAGCTTCCTTTAAAAGGAACATCAGGAGGTGATTTTTGACTAACCCTAGGTGTCCTTTCTGAGCCAAATAGATTTTCAAATAAGAAAATGAGAGGACATGAGCTTGAGGAAAATGATAGGCATTCCAACCTCATCCGCTTGCTGACGACCTCCACGTGATTTCAACAATGATTTCAAATATTTCACTTTTTAAGTCAGTGTGACTTAAGTATGAAATTGCCTCTCCCTAAAGCTCCCCTAAGGCCTAAACAGTCGTCATTACCATAGCTGTGACAGGGAGACTGTTGAATTTATAATCTATTGGCCATTCACAGCATAGCGTATAAACCTAGCTCATGATTTCTTTGCAATAGAAGTGTACTTTTTCATCACATTCCCTTCACAACTTACTCACCAGATCAGACTTTGAGCTCTCCTCCTGGCTTAGCCTGGATCGTTTGAAATGGTCATCCATCCTTTGGCCCCAATACCTAAACTAAGGTCTATGAACAATAAGATGATTTTCTTCAGTGGGACTTTTTTGTTTAATATAATATTAGATATTTCCCCTGATACAGGGCTCAATCTTTTTCTTTTTAAAGCAATATTTCTCAAAGTACTTTTCACAGAACTTAAGTTTCATTAAGCACTTCACTAAAAGAAAAGTCTGTGATCTAATAAATTTGGAAAATATTGAGAATTAGAGCCCCCTCTTAGATATGTACTGTAGCTACTCAGCTTGTTACAGATGAAGTAAACATTGTAATATTCACCCAGCTTTTGAGTGATGTCTATTAACGTCACCCAAATGAGTATTCCATGGAATGCACTTTGCAAAAACCTATTATTCAAGAAAATTCTGGAGCATGAAAGCTATTAACGATAAACCCATTCACAAAATCACACCAAATATCTAAAATCATGTTTAAAATCTCCTAGAAATGGGTTGAATTGCCCACTTCAGAGACAAAGTGATTCTTTTGTAATAACGAGTTTTGTTTAGTGAGTACTTATTATCTCATTGAATCCTGAGGACTACCTCACAAGGTAAGTATAGCTCTTTTCATTACACATGACAAACAAGGCTCAGAGAGGTTAAGTAACTTGCTCAAGATCACAAAACTGCAGAGTGACAAAACTAGAATTTTGAATCTAAGCTCAAAGGGTCACCAAACCAAATTTGGGTCCACCCACCCAGCCTATCAAAGTCAAGCACTGATATCGGCATTGCTGAGACAGAAGTTGAGGAATTTATTGCAGGCAGCAAGCAAGGAGTATCAGGCAGCTAATCCTTAAGGCCTAATCTCCCTGATGGCTTATGTGTAAGGGTTTTTAAAGGTGGGAAGGCAGAGGTTGCAGGCAAGGTCATATAATACATGGAGGCTACATATTGGTTTGGCCAAAAAAGGCAAAATATCTCAAAGTGAGGGCCCACAGGATAGGTGACCATTAGATGAATTCAAAGATTTTCTGATTTGAGACCAGGTGCAGTGGTTCACACCTGTAATCTCAGCGCTTTGGGAGGCCAAGGTGGGTGGATAACTTGAGGCCAGGAGTTTGAGACCAGCCAGACAAACATGGCAAAACACCATCTCTACTAAAAATACAAAAATTATCTGGGCATGGTGGTGTGCACCTGTAATCCCAGCTACTCAGGAGGCTGAAGCATGAGAATCGTTTGAACGTGGGAGGCAGAGGGTTCAGTGAGCTGAGATCGTGCCACTGCACTCCAGCCTGGGCAGCAGAGTGAGACTCTGTCTCAAACAAACAAACAAAAACCCAAAGATTTTCTGATTTGTGATTGGTTAAGTTTTGGCTACAAACTTGGGGTCAGCAGAAAGGAATGTTCTGCTCTGGCCTGTGGGTGTGACTTCCTCCAGGTCCCTCAGGAAGAAATTTAGAACAAAGAACAGTTGTGAGTGTTCAGTCCTCAGTTCCTCCTTATCTGAGATCTACGAGCCAACAGGTGGTATTTTCCATTTAGCGGGGTCTGGGTTTCTACAAAACAACTCAGGGACATATGTTAAGATGTTATCTCTAGTTTCTATAGGGAAACAAACATTTTGTGGCTCTAATTTTCTTTTTTTTTTAATTATACTTTAAGTTTTAGGGTACATGTGCACAACGTGCAGGTCTGTTACGTATGTATACATGTACCATGTTGGTGTGCTGCACCCATTAACTCGTCATTTAAGATTAGTTTGTGGCTCTAATTTTCTTGACTATTGTTTTAAGCTATTATTACCTTCTTACTTATCAGGGTGCTCATCTACTTCTTGAGGCTAGCCAGGTGGCTGGAATTTTCCTTGGAGGGACTCAAGAGTTTCCTTTATTTTTCATGCCTTAAATGGGTCTGTTCTCCCTCTTCAAAGCTCAAGCTCTTAAGGACTATGCTATTGTTAGATTTTTCGTATTGGAGCAGTACTTCCCTCCTACTCAAGAACACCCCTTCTTCAGACAGCCTGGCTGGGTCTTCATCCTGGGAGAGCTCATGAAACACAAACCAGATCTTGGCCCTCACGTGTGTCTAGGCAGAGCTGAGCCTGGGCAACACCAAGCATGCCCCCGATTTTGCATGTCCCAGCCAATTCAGAGTCAAGATCCACGCTCAGCTCCTTCCCTGCAAAGTGCTAATGATGAAGGATGGGGATCAAGTCAGCAAACTCCAGAAATGGTCTTAGACTAGGAGTCAAGCCTTGAGATCCTATTACACACCAGATTCATTCCCTGATTAGAGCTGCTGAATTCTTTTACTCTCACTGCACTCATGCTAAAGTTTCTTTCCTCCAGCCTCGTAACCCCAGAGGAGGCTGAGCCATGATACCCATTGTCTAGCAATAAATATTTAAGGAGCCCCTGAGATATGTCAGGCACCATCGCAGGTGCTGGGACAAGTGAATGTGACCAGGAAAGTCCCTCCCCTCTCAGAGGTTCTTTTCAAGTTGGAGGACAGCAAATACAGAAATATAGAGTCTAACATAACAACAGGGAGTAATAAACACTTTGAAGAAAAATAAAGTGGAATAAGAGGGTAGGGTTGCCATAGGGTTCTCTGGGCAGTCTTCTATGGAAAGGCCACTTGTTGGGGCAGAGAAAAAAAAGATGTCTGAAAGGAGGACTACCGGCCCCCCATAAGTGCGCTCCGGTCCATGCACAGGGCAATGGGCATGTAATTTCCTATGATTAAGACCTACAGTATGTACAATATTACTGCAACAGACACTGAGACTGACTTAGCATTGTTTCATAGCATCCGAGTTGCTCTGTTGGAGGAAAGTGCATGTGATGGGCATTCATTTGCTTCTGCCATCAGACAGATTCTCTACCTTTGTCTTTCCTACAAGATTCCCTAGGAAGGCAGGGCTCAGTGGCTCATGCCTGTAAGCCCAGCAATTTGGGAGTCTGAGGCAGTCAGATCACAAGGTCAGGAGTTCAAGACCAGCTTGGCCAACATGGTGAAACCCCGTCTCTACTAAAAATACAAAAATTAGCTGGGCATGGGGGCACGTGCCTGTAATCCCAGCTACTCAGGAGGCTGAGGCAGGAGAATTGCTTGAACAGAGACCCGGGAGGCAGAGGTTGCAGTGAGCCAAGATCGCACCACTGCACTCCAGCCTGGGCTACAGAGTGAGACTCTGATAAATAAATAATAAATAAATAAATGATTCCCTAGGAAGCTGACTCCCACTGAATGTGCCACTCAGGAGTCCCTGCTCTCTAGATTACAGTTGAGTTTGCTCAATGCAAGGCCCCAGCAGAAATGTTGAAAGTAAGAGCAAATAGATAGTTAACCACTCTTTAAGACAACAATGGATGTATACTTCTCTGGCCTCAGCTCCTGTGGGGAAGCTCCAGTGCCAGTCCCTGGGTGCTTCACCATTTTCCGTTAGTTCCTGAACCTTGTAAACTGACCCTTCACTAAATTCTTCCTAGTTAACCCTTTGAGAATGAAACCATTTCCTGCCAGGACTCTGACAGATACAAAGAACCCACAGCCGACTGCTGGGTGCGCGGCAGACCTAGTGCATGGCTCCACACTGCCATCTTGGGGGCTGGCACAGGCTGGCACTGAGTCTGGGGAAGGGAGCTGGGGCTGGAGGTGTGGAGGGGAAGACCGTGCATAGTTGCTTCCTGATCAGCTCTTTATTCGATTGAGAGTGAGGCAGGGAAGATTAGAGGGAAGCTTACAGTGGAATTCAGGGCTGAGGCTGCTATTCTTTTGCTCCTTGTAACTTCCTACAGTGTTGTCAGCATCCACATACTTCTCTGTGGGGTTGGTCTCAGAGCCAGGTTACCTTGTCTTAGGTCCAGTGGCAGCCTGACTGGCTTGGTGTCCTTGAACAAGTTACCTAACCTCTCCATACCTCAGTCCCTCAGCTGTAAAATTTAAAAAAAAAAAAAAAAAGAAGAAGAGTACCTACTGTATAGCATTGATTTGAAGATTGAATGAGCTGGTATTATACAACGTTTAGAAGCAGTGCCTGACATGCAAAAGGCTCTCAAAAAATACTATCCTTTACTAATATCCTGTGTGTCTGTATCAGAGCTGGTGGGGTGGAGGGACAGAAAGAAGTGGGAGAAGGTAAAGAGATGGGCAAATGATCTCTAAAGTCTCTCTGGCACTAACACAATTCTTTATTATGTGTTTTGTCTGGCTCTTTATATTGATAGCTGTTCCAGAAGCAATCAATAGCTATTAGTCGGTTTTATTCTTATTTTTCTGTCTGATCTTACAGGGGAGCAAACTGTGGCAAAGCATGAACTTACTTCTCAGAAAATTAACCATTATGTTGGCAATCACTGTGATTATTTGAACTTCAGCGTCTGGACAAATTTAGTCACATGAAATACAGAAGAGAGATTTCTCATGGTTAAAATGAAGCTCTCTTTATTTGCTTCTGCTAATTAAAAAATCAGAGCTAAAGATACTTAAACACTACAGTTAAAATGCCATGGTTGTCTATTGGCTTAATGAATTCTCTTATGAAATCAACTCTAAAATGTTATCCATCATAAATCATGAAACACAATTTTTCTTATTCTCTTTAGAGCTTTACAATTCATCTTAAAGACCAGTGTTTACACTCTCTTCCGTAGGTTGTACAATAACCTTTGGCGAGAAAAAATAAATGTCTGGCTTTCTGACTCATAGGTGTGTTCCCTTTAACAGAAAAAGAAAATATGTCCTCTTTAAAACTGATGATCATTGGTCACCTCAATTTTATTGAAGTTCACTTCTGACCTCTTTAGATGTAGTTCTCTACATAAAACTGCCCAACAGAATTCTCTGTCTGAATGCCTCCTCCACAAACAAAATTTTAAGAACTAAAATCATCATCTTTCCTTCCAAATGTGCTCTCCCTATGTCCCCAGGGCTCTCCATGTGTAGAGCTGAGACCATTTGCCACTCAGTTTCCTCACCCAATTAATTACAAGTCCCAACAATTTTCCGTTGTTTTTTTTTTTTAGACGGAGTCTTGCTCTGTCACCAGGCTGGTGTGCGGTGGTGCAATCTCAGCTCACTGCAACCTCCACTGCCTGGGTTCAAGCGATTCTCCTGCCTCAGCTTCCCAAGTAGCTGGGATTATAGGTGTGTGCCACTACATCCAGATAATTTTTGTATTTTTAGTAGAGAGGGGATTTCACCATATTGGCCCAGATGATCTCAATCTCTTGACCTCATGATCTGTCCACCTTGGCCTCCCAAAGTGCTGGGATTACAGGCGTGAGCCACCATCCCTGGCCCAGTTTTGCCTTTTTAACATCCCTCAGCTCTTCAAATCCATTTTCTCTTCTCTAACACCTCCCCATTCCCCAGCTCGTAATGAACTCTTAAGTAGATTACTACGATCACCTCCCAAATGGTCTTCCTGGCTCCATCAGCCTTGTGACCTTCAAGTTCATTCTCCACATGGATGTCAGAGTAACTTTCTAAAATGAAAATCTGACCACGTTACTCTCTTGCCTAAATCCGCCTATGGCCGCTGTTAGGATCAAGTCTAAACTCCCGACCCTGGAACATCAGGTCTTTGTGCTCTGTTCAGTGCTTCTCTACCTCACCTGCAACCAACACCACTCCCACATCCATATTCTGCTCACCGTGTATCAACATGAACAGGAGGTGGGTGTTTCAGTCCCCAGGAAGACACTGGGCCTTTTCAATCATCTACTGCTGTGTAATAACCACCCTGCAAACTGACCACATGATTTCATTTTGCAAGGGTTCCTTCCTTGGGCTGTGTTCAGCAAAAGGGTTTACTGAGCTGGCAGGTCCAAGATGGCCTCACTCACAGGACTGGCTGTTGATGGGAGCCTTGATGCTCTTGGGCTCACCCCTTATCCTCCAGTAGGTTAGAGCTTCTTACAGTGGTTTCAGGCAGCATCTGAAGACAGTAAATGCAGAAGCTCCAAGGCTTCTTACATTCTAGCCTGGAAAATCACATCACATTGCTTCCTTCATATTTTTTTTGGCAAATCAGGTTGCAAGGCTTGCCCAGATTAGGGTAAAGAGGCAAAGAGGCTCCTTTTCTTTTCTTTTTTTTTTTTTTTTTTTGAGTCAGAATCTTGCTCTGTTGCCCAGGCTGGAGTGCAGTGGCGCGATCTAGGCTCACTGCAAGCTCTGCCTCCTGGGTTCACGCCATTCCCCTGCCTCAGGCTCCCAAGTAGCTGAGACTACAGGCACCTACCACCACGCCTGGCTAATTTTTTTTTTTTTTTGTATTTTTTGGTAGAGACTGTGTTTCACTGTGTTAGGCAGGATGGTCTCCATCTCCTGACCTCGTGATCTGCCTGCCTTGGCCTCCCAAAGTGCTGGGATTACAGGCGTGAGCCACCGTGCCCGACCAAGAGGCTCCTTTTCTTGATGAAAGGAGTAGTGAAGTCACATTGCATGTCCTTGCAAAGGGACATGCAGACCACATTAGTGAGAATATGTGCCTGTATTTTGCAATCTGTAACATGGGCATAAACTAAATGTTTTCCAAAGGGAATAGGGCAAAACAAAAAGGACCTTGACCACTCCTTTGGCCCTGAATAAATCTAGGAAGCCTAAGAGTATGACTATCCTGAGGTAGAAAGAGGGTCACATGCTGGATAAGAGGTACCTGGGCTCTCCACTTACAAGAAGAGAGCATGGTTACATTTATAATCACCATTCCCAACACGCTGTGAGTGCAGGCAGCTACCAGGAGGAGAACAAAGGAAATAACCAGGACACCCATCTCTAAACCTGTTAATTTAATCACACGGAACACTTCTATTTAAAATTCCTGAGGGTTAAGATGTAAGAATGCTTATCAAGGTAAATGCTGTTCACACTGCTTGGAGTGTCAGGCCTAGATCTCTATCCATCAGAAACAACAATATCAATAACAACAACAGCAACATGATGATGGGGCAATTTCTGAAAAGCACCATGTATTTTATCGATACATGTCCGTTGCAGAAAATCCAGGTGAATCCAAAGAAGAAATAAATGTCTTCCACAATCCCATAGCCCAGAGCTAACTAACCACTATAAAGAACCCAGCGTGGTTTTAACTAATGGATCAAAAGATGCTCATCAAAAGCTCTGAGCTTTCCTGAGTGCTAACAGGAAACATCCAGCATCACTGGTCTCTCCAAGGCTGCAGGTGTCTTTGCCCATAGTGCCTGTTTTGTGTCAGGGAAAGAATCAACCTGGGAGCCAAGCCCAGGAATCAGGATGACCAAGACATACTGGACAAGGAGGGAACAAACCCATCCAAGGACACTCAAGGACAAATCAAGCAAATGAATTTAAGGGAGACCTGCTCATGGTCTGCTTTGCTGCTCAGCATGGCTGGGAGGCACAGTGGAAGATCATGCATCCTTCCCCTGGGACTCCTCTGCCAGAGCCTGAGAGCTTTCTCCTGCACACAGGCTAGGGGTAGGGCAGTTGGAATTGATCCATGCCTTCTAGCTAGACTGTGGGTCCCCTCAGTCTTGGGCATGGTGACAGCCCAGCATCAGACAGAGGTCAGTATCAAACTAGAAAATTTAATAAATGCTGTCAGATTTGTAGACCCAAGAAAATATAAACTGCCAATCACGGAGGAAAAAAATCTCTCAATGATCTTATCTTTATATGATTCCCTTGCTGCCTGGAGATTGACATTTCCTTGGGGATAATCTGGTCATAGGATTGGTGAAGGTGGAAGGGAGGCAACCTCCGAAGGTGGGGCCCTCTGCTCACCTGGGACAGGGAGGGCCTGAGGTAGGTGTCTGTGTGGGCTGGGGAGGAGGATGGGAGCAGTGCTTCTAGATGTTTCCACTTTCTCCTCATTAGATAATAATGAATGGGTGATTTCCCTAGTCACTGCAGTGTGAGGAAATCTACAAAATTAATTTCACAATACACTTTACAGGATAGGTGGAGAAACACATGAAGCACAACTGCAGTGGGTTATAAAAAATGGCCTTTCGAGTTGAGCAGTAAATTCGTTCAAGCAGCCATTCTGAAGGACAAACTGGCTCTGTATTTAACAGGGGCATTCCAGCACTTCTCTAGCTACTGGGTTGACAATGACTCACCAAAGCCTCTGGTAGCCACCACAGGACGCCCAGAGCACGTTTTAAAGCTGAACACCAAACTGCGGACTTCGGGAGTAAGTGAACTGACTGGTTTTTATTTTGTTTTACTGCTTTTAACATTACAGTAACTGTTACAGGTTCCAGCAGGATAACTGGGTGGAAATGAGTTTGGTTTCACTTAGTCTCTCTAAAGAGAAAGCAAGTTGGTAGACTAATACCTAATAAAAGCAAAGCTGCCAACAATTGAAATTGCCTGGGCTGCTCTGTGTGTCCCACATGCATGGGTGTGGGTGCCAGTGTGTGTGCGTGTGTGCATGCATGTGCATGTGTGTTGGGATAGAGTGGTAAGAAAATGGGAAATAATAAGAATGTTCAGTCCATAGCCCTTCATTATAAAAAGGTGAGCTGTAATAAATACTAGTGCCACATTTAGCCAAAACTTTACTCCAGCCAAAGGTGATATTTTCATGATAACATCCTGTGATTGCTTTGTTCTTCGTCTTTTATGTTCTTCCTAGATGGGCTCAGAACATACAAGAATTAAGTACACATCTTATTTTCCAGTGATAATGCTACCGGCAAATTCTGTTGTTTGTATAAACATCAGCCATGTTTATATAACTAAACTAGTGTTTTGTTTTGTCAATTCAGCAAGAAATTAGACCACATGGTGGCTTAATGCTGCATTGATTTGGCTATCAATTTGTTTTCACTTTTCTGCAAAATATTTAATACATTATTAAATTGAATTATGCTGATGCCACAGTTGTTCTTATCTCAATTGTCTTAAAATTCATTTAATTTTTTTTCCTTTGGTTTCATTATTCAAATTTTAACTTCAGTTCTCAACATTTTATCTGATGGAAGAGATGGAGTCCATTACTAAGGACTCCATTGTGCTCCATCATGCTAGAGTTGTAAAATAGATCTTTTAAAGGAAATTTACTGTGATTTTTTTCTATTTAAGAGCTTCCTCTCCAGTTGAGCATGTAAGAAAATTATACCAGGAGAATACAGTAAACTCTATGAGGCAAGCTATAAACATGTAGCATTGTGATTAGGGCTGGTTCTCCTTCTAGAAACATGGTAGGATTGCAATTTCATACCATCCTTGAAGTTAGAGAGAGCCACGTGACTCATTTAGCCAATGAACTGTGAGCAGAATGACATGTCACTTCCAGCAGAAGCTTTAAGAATCTGAGAGACATTCATACGTTTTCCATGTGCTGTAGCCTTATACCCAAAGCCTGGGTCCCAAGTGACCATGACAGGCAGAGCTCCATGTTGAGCCACAGAGATTTAGAGAATGGCTGTTAACACAGCATAATCCAGCCCATCCTGACTAATCTGATATTAACATGTATAATAAAGAATTCTATCAATGCTGAGGGAAGATGATTAGTTAAGGTCCTAGGTTGCAAGTCTCAAAACCTCTTCTAAGGATTGTAGACAGGAAATTAAATGACTTCTAGTCCCTAGAGTTCCCAATCTCCTACCATCCCATCCTAATATGACAGAAGTAATTCCTGAGTTGCTTCTGAAACCAGAGCTTCCCTCAGAACCCTTAGCCTGCCAGATGGCTTCTTGGAGAGCCCTCACTCACTTTTCTCCTTCTGCTATTGCTGCTCATTCATTCCAGCTTTTAAAAATTCATCTTTATCCAGGAACCTCGCTTCTAGAAAAGTCATACAGGTGCTTCCAGGAGGCTACATGGGCACCCATATTTTTCTAGCCACTTTCATTAGACCAATGCAGCAGAGAAGAAAAGCCTCAATAATTATTATGACATGGCATGTTAGGATACCAAGTAAATTGCATTTGTAAAATGTGATTTTCTGTTGGTGTTCACTTCGGCTCTACTGACATTTGGTAAGTATTATTGACTGACTGACTAACTAATGTGGTCATTAGTCTTCATAAAGAAAGGCTCTCTACAAAAACGGAGGGATGCCCTTTTTCTGGCATTTAATACGTAAGAAATTGCCTCCGATAGAAACCAGAGTTGCCTGATTACTATCAGCACAGGAGAAATGTATTAATGTGCCTTTCTAGTAACAGGTTTTTAGAAAGTCAAATATAAACAAATCTGTCTATTTGTGTGTGTGCATGTGGTAGTGGGGAGGGAAGAAAAAAGGAGGGGGAGAGAAAGAGAAATAAGAACCAAGTTTATTATACTGTATTCAGGGGGAAAACATTTTCCCAAGGTTCTAACAGAAGAGCAAAGTGCCACTGTCAATAGCCTCAGTAGTGTTAGGGTTGCTTTTATGTATTTATTTATTTACTTATTTATTTATTTTTCCTTTTTTTTTCCTTTCTCTTTTTTTCTTCTTTTTTTTTTTTGGACAGAGTCTCACACTGTCGCCTGGGCTGGAGTGCATTGGCGCAATCTTGACTCACTGCAACTTCTGCCTCCCAGGTTCAAGTGATTCTCCTGTCTCAGCCGCCCAAGTAGCTGGGATTACAGGTGTCTGCCACCGTGCCTAGATAATTTTTTTATATTTTTAGTAGAGATGAGGTTTCACTATGTTGGCCACGCTGGTCTCAAACTCCTGACCTCATGATCCACCCACGTTGGCCTCCCAAAGTGCTGGGATTACAGGCGTGAGCCACCGCCCCTGGCCAGGATTGCTTTTATAGCCAGTCTTCAGGTGCCCACTGTAGGAACAATGTCATTTAGCCCTCGGGATTATTCTGTGCCAAATATGGATAATGACTAATATTCAACACAGATATTCTCAGCTCAGAAGAGCAATTAGCAAATTCATAAATTAAGTGCTTGCTTCCTTTTTAGTCAAATACAAACATTTGTTAAAAGATATTATTTTGCTTTACACTTTTTCTCTCAGAAATAAACAGATGCTTGAATTCCCACAGTGCTGCTTGAGCCTCACACCATGTCATCCTGCCAGGCACCCAGATCCAGTTCTAGAGTTTCACATGATCATGAGTGTTGGTTAATAAGTCACTGTGAACTGGGAGGGGAGATTTTTCAGGAGTGCCACAGGGCTCTCCCTTTAATCACATACACTCCCTGCTTTCATTGGAAAGTGTATAATGATGTCAGAGTGCCCCAGAATGGAGCTAGTTGGAAGACTGCCGTCATAGGGATGCCTTAGTGAATTAATCAGGTTTTAATTTCTGGCTCTCAACTTTGTAGATGTAAAAGTTGATTTATCAATATGTGAGAAAGGATGAATCTTTCTGAAGGTTATGTCATCACACTCACTAAGCACACAGAGAATAATGTCTAGAATCTGAGTGCCATGTTATCAAATTATACTGAGACTCTTGCAGTCACACGGGCTGACATGTAAGCATCGCCATGCCTAGTACAGACTCTCCCTGCAGATGAAATTATATGGGATGCTAAATTATAATCAGAACAATGTTTGGTGAGCCAAAACTACAACAAGGGAAGCTAATTGGATGAATTTATAAAAATATACCTCAGCCAAAATAGCTTAATTCAGTCTCCCTTATCATAAGGATACTCTTGCCTAAAGGGACAGTAATATTAAAGACACTAGGAATAACCTCTGTACTTTGGACAGTAGACCTGCATAGCCCATTAGGCCTCAATGAAGTCTTATGCAAGACCAGAAGCCAATTTGCCATTTTAAGGTGATTCTCCATGTTTCTGCTCTAACTGTGTTTCACAATACTCAAGACACTGAATCAGGATGTTTCCTGGAGTGCAGGGAGCTGTCCGTGTTACTGAGCAGTTCTCAGCAACACAAAGATCCTACTGACTCCTCATCAGACTTCTTTCTCACTGGAATTTTACACCTGGGCTGTTAACACCAGGCCAGGTCAAATTCAAAGGAGAGAAAAAAGCTCATTATGAAGGGTAAAATCCAAAACACTGTGCATAAAGATATGTGTGCACAATTTTTATACATAAAGATTTCATAAAGCCAAAGCATCAGGAAATGAAAAGAGATACAGAAAGAAAAATGATGGTAAATGAGACATTAATTTACCCTTCTAATCTCTATCACAGCAAAAAGGTAATTAAAAAATCTATATGAGGACCAAAAAATACACAAAGATTATGTAGCAAAGCCTATAGCCTGAAAAAGTAAACATTGAAATTTGTATGTCCATAAAATGTTTACAAAATTCAGTACATATTACACACCCCACCCTAAAAACATCTAAGCAAAGTAGAGAATGTAGAAATGCTACAGATTATATTCTCTGATTATGACACAACAAAACTAGAAATTACAGCATGAAAATTTAAAAGCTTTCTCTTAAATAATTCTATGTCAAAAAGAAATCCAGGCCGGGTACAGTGGCTCATGCCTGTAATTCCAGTACTTTGGGAGGCCAAGGTGGGCAGGTCACTTGAGGTCAGGAGTTCAAGACCAGCCTCGTCAACATGGCGACACCCTGTCTCTACTAAAAATACAAAAATTAGCTGGGCCTGGTGGCGCATGCCTGTAATCCCAGCTACTTAGGAGGCTGAGGCAGGAGAATTCCTTGAACCCAGAAGGTGGAGGTTGCAGTGAGCTGAGATTGCACCACTGCACTCCAGCCTAGGTGACACAGCAAGACTCTGTCAAAAAAAAAAAAAAAAGAAATCCAAATAAAATTTCCAGAATATGTGGAAAATAGTGACAATAAAAATATTACACATGTGTAATCCCAGCATTTTGAGATGCCAAGGTGGCAGGATCACTTGAGACCAGGAGTTCGCAACCAGCCTGGACAACATAGGGAGACTCCATCTCCACACACGCCAAAAAAAAATTTTAAATAGCCAGGTATAGTGGTACTTCTTGTAATCCCATCTACTTGAGAGGCTAAGGTGGGAGAATCACCCAACCTCAGGAGTTCAGGGCTTCAGCAAGCCATGATCATATCACTGCACTCCAGCCTCAGCAACAGAGCAAGATCCTATCTCAAAAAAAAAAAAAAAAATCACATGTGGGAAATAGCTATAGCACAATAAAAATAAATGTATTAAGTATGAACAACAAAAAAGCTAGTAAAGGTTGAACAACAACTATCCTTAGGAAAGTGGAAATAATGTGTTAATAAATATGAAAGCAGGCTAGGCACGGTGACTCACATCTGTAATCCCAGCACTTTGGGAGGCTGAGGCAGGCAGATCACCTGAGGTCAGGAGTTCCAGACCAGCCTGGCCAACATGGTGAAATCTTGTCTCTCCTACAAATACAAAAACTAGCCAGGCTTGGTTGCGCACTCCTGTAATTCCAGCTACTTGGGAGGCTGAGGCAGGAGAATCTCTTGAACCTGAGAGGCAGAGGTTGCAGTGAGCCAAGATCATGCCACTGCACTCCAACTGGGGCAACAGAGTGACACTCCATCTCAAAATAAATAAATAAGAAAGCAGAAACTAATAAATTAGAAAACAGAAACATAGAACTAATTTATAAATCAAAGCACTATGCCTTGAAAAGAGGGAGAAAAATTGTGAATTAAGGAAGGGAAGAGATGGTTGGAGAGGAGGTGGGAGAAGGCAGAGATAATTGAAGGAGCAAAAGCATCTGGAGAAGCAAAGCCACTGAAAGATGAACAGGGCTCTGAAAGAAATGCTTGATTGCTATCTTTTCAAATGACTGCAGTTCCCAGTGACATCATTTTTCTCCTCCCTGGAAGTCTGAGGGGCAGTTCACTTATCTCCTCCCCTCCCCTACTCCTCACCCCACACTCAAAACCTGTCTATGCTCCTTTCATTCTCATATGACAGATTTCAGATGGCATTCTTATTTCCCTGATTTCTTTTTGAGATAGCTTGCATTTCCCTACTCTATATAAAGCCACCATTTATCAAATGCCTACATGGACCAAGCAGTCCACAAGGGCTTCACAGACAGTTTTACTAAACTCATGCCAAAACTTTCAGGTTTTATAGATAAAGATCTATACCTTATAGATAAAGGTATCTATAAGGTATAGATAAAGGTAAGGTATCTATACCTTATAGATAAAGAAATTGAAGCTTATAGAGTTTAAGTAATGTTCCCAAAGCCTCGTGGCTAGTAATTCAAACCTAATTTCTGCCTACTCCAAAGTCTATTTTTCCTCATGATACTATACTGCCTCTCCATGGATAAAGACAGAGATCACATATTAATAAAATTTGCACAAAGTCGGCAAATTGTTGAAAGGGAAGGCTAAGATGATTAATAAAATCAAGAGCCAGATGATCTCAACAACCTGAAATAACTGGCTGACAACCAATTTGAATAACTCCCTGCGGGTGAAGTTCAAAGTACTATTTGGGTTTTTTTTTTTAAGTTTGGCTGGGTGCAGCGGCTCACGCCTGTAATCCAAGCACTTAGGGAAGCCAAGGTGGGTGGATCATGAAGTCAGGAGTTGAAGACCAGCCCGGTCAACATGGTGAAACCCCATCTCTACTAAAAATAAAAAATTAGCCGGGCCTGCTGGTGGATGCCTGTAGTCCCAGCTACTCGGGAGGCTAAGGCAGGAGAATCGCTTGAACCCAGGAGGTGGAGGTTGCAGGGAGCCGAGATCGCACCACTGCACTCCAGCCTGGGTGACAGGGCGAGATTCCGTCTCAAAAAATAAAATAAAATAAAATAAAAAATAAAAGTTTGATATATTCAGAATCAGGGAGGTCTGTTGGGTGCAGTTCATTTGAAAAATTCCTCAGCATTTTAGTGATCTGTATGGTCCCTCTATCCGTCAGGGTCCTAGCAGGAAATTGTTGCACTCTCAAAGGATTAAGCAGAAAGAGTTTAATGAAGGGTCTCTTTCCAGGGTTAAGGGAACTGCTAGGGTTTGGATATTTGACCACTCCAAACTCATGTTGAAATGTGATCCCCATTGTTGGAGGTGGGGCCTAATGGGAGGTGTTTTGGTCCTGAGTGTGGACCTCTCACGAATGTCTTGGTGCCATCCAAGTGAGTTCTTGCTCGCTCTTTTTTTCTTTTTGAGATGTAGTTTCACTCTTGCTGCCCAGGTTGGAATGTAGTGGTGCGATCTTGGCTCACTGCAACATCCACCTCACGGGTTCAACCCATTCTCCTGTGTCAGCCTCCAGAGTAGCTAGGATTACAGGTACCCACCACTATGCCCAGCTAATTTTTGGTATTTTTAGTAGAGACGGGGTTTCACCATGTTGGCCAGGCTGGTCTCAAACTCCTGACCTCAGGTGATCCACCTGCCTCGGCCTCCCAAAGTGCTGGGATTACAGGTGTAAGCCACCGTGCCTACCTAGTTCTAGCTCTCTTAATTCCCACAAGAGCTGGTTGTTAACAAGAGCCTGGTACAAACCCCTCTCTCTTGCCACGTGATCTCTGCACATGCCAGCTTCCCTTCCCCTTCTGCCATGAGTGGAAACAGACTAAAGCCCTCACCAGAAGCAAATGGTGGCACCATGCTTCTTGCACACCTTCAGAACTGTGAACCAAATAAACCTCTCTTCTTTAAAATTATTCAGCCTCTGGTATTCCTTTATAACAACACACACACACACACACACACACACACACACACACACACACACACGCAAAAGCAGACTAAAACAGGAACTAATTAGAAATGGTGATGCACCGAGGGATTGGCACCGAGGCTCCCCAACAGGAACTGAGGCCATGGATAGAAGGACACATTCATGTTATTTTTTTCTAATGGTTAAGTAATTATTTGCTCTTACTCTCAAAATTTCTGCCAAGGCCTCCCATGGACCAAACTCAACTAGAATCTAGGAAGCAGAGAACCTGAGTGTTGCATTCAGCAGAGGTCAGCTTCCTAGGGAATATTGCAGGAAGGGTGAAGGTAGAGAATCTGGTGGGGAAGCAAGCAAATGCCCATCACATGCACTTTCCTCCAACAGAGCGACTCAGATGCTATAAAACTTGCTAACGCAGTCTCAGGGTCTGATCACAGTAACATACAATCCAGGTTTTAATCATCAGAAATCGCAGTCCTATTGTCTTCTGCACAGACCCAAACACACTTGGAGGTCATGTTCAATATGAATACCTCACAGAGAAGGAAATTTACGCACGAGAAGTACATCTGCAGAAAGCCAGCTGGCATGTCAACCATTCGAAAACTCAGGGTGTTCGGGATAAAGAAGACTCAGGAAGACAAGTATGAAGCATAATCTGTGACATTATTGATATCTTCCTGATATCAATATTATTGATATCTTCCTGAAGAACATAATTCCTGCCTACCATCAACAAGCATCAATACTTTCTACCAGCTATTCTCAACCCTCATCATCGGAAGAGACAGACACTGACTGTGTCAAAGTATTAGTCCCATCATTCAGCAATTAACTTTAGCTCAATGCTTCAAAAATTCTTCAGGCCCTGTGTAATTTCAGCTATGTACATTAATGATGAGTACCCATACAACCATTCTGTTTCTTATTTTCAGTACCATATTTAATAAATATCAGTTATTCAATACTTTATTTAGACATTTTGTTAGATTATTTTGACCAATGAAGTCTAATCAAAATGTTCTGAGCATGTTCAAAGTAAGCTAGGCTAACCTATAATTTTTGGTGTGCTAAATGCATTTTTAACTTATGATATTTTCAGTTTACGGGGGTTTGTTGGGACATAACTTCATCATACATCAAGGAGCATCTGTATATGGGATATAGTTAAAGCAGTGATCAGAGGAAAATCTATAGCCTTAACACATTTATTAATAAAAGTGTAGGAATTAAATTATCAGCTGAAAAATGTAAAAAGTATCTAAAAGAGTAAGCAGAAAGTACAAGAAAGAACCCATAGTAGAAAAAAGTGAAAATTAATAAAATAAGAAGCCAAAAAACAGATCAAATCAGTAAACCAAAAATCTTGTTCTTTAAACAAATCAACAAAGTTGACAAAAAATTAGATCTTTTAATCATGAATAAAAAAAGAGAAAGCACAAAAATGAATAAGGAATGGTGAGAGAAATAACTATTGATAATCAGCAAATAAAAAATCATTAAAAACAATGTTGTTCACATCTATGAAAAACATTGAAAGCTAGAGGGAATGGGTAATTTTCCAGAAAAATACAATTCACCACAATTGACTTCAAAAAAAAAAAAAAAAAAGAAGTACAGCACTTATGTGAGCAATTTCCATAGAGAAATACAGTTGTCATGGAATTATAACACACACACAAACACTAGGTTTAGATGTTTTCACAGAGAATTCCACCAAACCTTTAGAAATCAGATCATCCAAAGGCAAATTAACAACCCTCAGCCATTTGAGGCAAAATATTACAATTGAGGCAAGATATACTGTACTGAAAACTTGAGGAAAAAGCAGGAGAGAAAGTTCCTTTGGGAAATTCGAATACTCAAAAGTGCTTACATACAATGAAAAATTTGGAAATCCATAAGCATGGCCAAGGTGGGACACATGCTCAGAAAAGGCCTGAGAAGACACTAATAACTCACCTTTAGTAATTCCTAGGCTCACAGCAAGAAAAAATGAAGGCTAAGGCAGAATTATATATGGCTCCACTAAGTGTTGAGGGAGCCCCAATACAGAGTCAGTAAGCAAAGTCTGGGAGATGTTTTTCATATTTTTTTCTTTTTTGGCTCCTTGCAGTCAAGGAAATCATTTTTAAATCACTAAATGCTAAATGAACACAAGCTAAAGGAACCGAGCCGCCTTCAAACATCAAACATAAAAAAGAATGCAGATATTACAAAACCAGTTTACAAAAGTTACTAAACAAATAAAAACTACATCCCACAGTGGGTAACAAAAATAACCTTGAAGAAGGGAAAAATTTGGTTTCCAGAATAAACACATTATAATATCCAAAATGTCCAGTTTTCAACAAAAATTAAGAAGCATGCAAATAAACACAAAACTATGGCCCATTTACAGAAGAAATAAATGAGACTCTCCCTGAGTAAGCAGATATTGGAAATATTAGACAAAAACTTTATATAACTGTCTTAAATAAACTTAAAGAGCTAAAGAAACCCAAGAGAATGACATATAAATAAATAAGAAATATGAATTTTTTAAAAGGTACAAAAAAATTCTGAGGCTGAAAAGTACAATAACTAATTAAAAAGTTACTTTTTACTTAGGGTTCCAATAGAAGATTTGAGCAGCTGGAAAAAAGAATCAGTGAACTTGATAGATCAAGTGAAATGATTCAGTCTGAAGAGCAGGAAAATGAAAGAATGACAACAAAAAAGAATAGAGCCTAAAGACCTGTGTAACAACATCAAGAATGCCTACATACAGAATCCTGGTGGGGAGTGAGGGGCAGGAAGACTATTTGAAGAAATGTGTTTGAAAGCTTCCCAAATTTCACTAAAAACAAATATATACATTCAAAAAGCTCAGTGCACTTCATCAAGGAAATATACAAAGATATTCACACCAAGACACACTACGTTTCAAATTGTCAAAAGGCAAAGCGAATGTTTGAAAGCAGCAAGAGAAAGGCAACGCGTCATTTACAAAGGATCCTCAATAAGTTTGACAGCAGATAGTGCATTATAATCCATGGATGCCAGAAGAGCTTAGGAAAAAGGCAATGCATCATTTACAAAGGATCCTCAGTAAGTTTGACAGCAGAGAGCTCATTATAAACCATGGGTGCCAGAAGAGCTTAGAATGACATTTTAAAGTTCTGAAAGAAAAAAACACTGTCAACCAAAAATTCTGTAACTTGGAAGATGCCCCTTCAAGTATTAAGGATAAATTACACATTCCCAGATTAAAAAAAAAAGAGAGAGAGAAAGAGAAAGAAAGAAAGAAGAGAGAGAAAGAAAGGGAGAGAAAGAAAAAGAAAGAAAGAAAGAAAGAAAGAAAAGGAAAGAAAGAAAGAAAGAAAGAAAGAAAGAAAGAAAGAAAGAAAGAAAGAAAGAAAGAAAGAAAAAGAAAGAAAAGAAAGAAAGAAAAGCAAGCAAGCTTTAAAAGTTCATGTTTGGTAGGCTGTACTTCAAGATACACTTTTAAAAAAAAAGACTCCTTCAGATACAAACTAAAAAACACTAGAAAGTAACTCAAAACCACATAAAGAAATAACTCCAGTAAGGATAACTACATAGGTAAATATAAAAGCAATTATCATATTTTTTGTAAGTCTTTTTAAATATTCTATATGTTTTAAAACAAATGTGTAAAATAATGACTATAAATCTATGTTAATGAAGCATGATGTATAAAGATGTGGTTTGTGAAATTACCAACATAAAGAAATTCATAGGAAACTAAATAATAATAGAGATTTTGTATACTATTGAAGTTGTTTCAATTTATTCTAAATTGTTCCAAATTAAGAATGTTAATTGTAAATCCCCATGGTAACCACTAAGTTAATATCTTTTGAAAATACAGAAAAGGAAAGCAGAGGGTAAACACAGTGATATGCTACAAAATAGCAACTAAACACAAAAGAAGGCGATAATTGAGGAAATTAGGAACAAAGGAGGTATAAGACATACAGAAAACAAAAGCAAAATGGTAGGAGTAAGCCCCTCTTTATCAGTAATTACATTAAATACAAATGAATTAAACTCTCCAATCCAAAGAAAGAGATTGACAGAATGGATTTTTAAAAAATGATCCAACTATATTGTCCACAAGATACTCACTTTAGATCAAAATACACAATGAGTTGAAATGAAAGGATGGGAGAAAATATTCCATGTAAGTAATAACCAAAGGAGATCTGAGGCAAATATACTTATATCAGACAAAATAGACTTTAAGTCAAAAACTGTTACAAAATACAAAGAACAGTATATATTGATTTCAAAATTAAACAAGAAGATATAACAATTATAAATATATGTACACCAACTAACAGGGCTCCAAAATATATAATGTAACCATTGAGAGAATTAAAGGGAGAGACAGACAATTCCACGAAAATTGTTGGGCATTTTAAAACCCAACTTTAATAAAGGACAAAACATCCAGAGCAAATATCAAGGGAGGAATTAGAGGATTTGAATAAAACTATAAGCAATAACTATAGATAACACTTCTCTCAAAAACTGCAGAATACACATTCTTCTCAAGTGAACATGGAACATTCTCCAGCACAGATGATATGTTAGGCCATAAGATAAGCTCAATAAACTTAAAAAGATTGAAATCATGCAAAGTATCTTCACTGACCACAATGGAATGAAATAAGATATCAATAACAAAAGAAAAACTAGAAAATTTACAAATATTTGGAAATTAAACAACACAGTATTTACCAACCAATGAATCAAAGAACAAATCATGAGGGAAATTAGAAAATGTTTAGAGACGATTGAAAACAAAGATATAACAAGATGGGTGTGATATATCAAAAGCAGTGCTCAGAGTTGTAACACCTACATTTTAAAAAAGAAACATGTCAAATCAATAACCAAACTTTACTCAATAAACCATAAAAGGAAGAGCAAACAAAATCCAGAGCTAGCAGAAGGAAGGAAATAAACATTAGAGCAGAGATAAATGAAATTGAGAATTAAAAAATTATACAGAGATCAACAAAACTAAAAGTTGGTTCTTTTAAAATATCAATAAAATTAATATACTTTTACATAGACTAAGCAAAACATCTCTATTCAGCTGACTTTTTTTTACAAGGGAGCCAACATTATTCAGTGGGGAATAATAGCTTTTTCAACAAAAAGTGCTGGGAATACTGAATATTCATATGCAAAAAAAATGAAGCTGGACCCCTACCTCACATTATATACAAAATCTAGATTGGATCAATAATGTAAATATACGAGTGAAAACCATACATGCTTAGAAGAAAACATGGAAATAAAACATTGCTGTGGATTGGCAATGCATTCTTAGATAATACACCAAAAATACAAGCATGAAACAAACAAATGTAGCCAAAATGTACCAGAATCTGAAAACATGTATTATCTATAAAGAATTAGAGGGAAATTTGGTGAAAGAAATATGGGAGAATGGGATATTGCTCTGTGAATGCTTTTGTGCATAATTGTACATTTTTAATTAAGTTAATCTTTTACACTCTCAAAGTGTGATATTAAGCAAGCAAAGATAAGTTATTACAAGACTCTAAAACCGAATGCAATGAGAAACAAGTGAATCCAAATATATTTCAAATGAATGAATGACATAATCAAACTTAAGGGGAAAATAATAATTAATCTGATTAATTTTTGACTGTTCTCTTATTTCAAATTGACTTTTGAACATACTTTGACTACATACTATTGCTTGAAAAAATAAAATATCTGCAAAAAATTATTAAATCTTCATGATAGGATTTTTTCTTTTTATATTAGTATAAATATAACAATTCTGAAACAAATGTATGTGCATTGTAAGATTAAGCCAATGAGTAAATATTAATATATTTGTATTGCTAGAACCCCAGATTCTCACTGTGAAAGGACAGAGATACAGATATGGAATAAGACAAGGAAAGAAGCAGCCCACTGAGTTACATTAGAATCAGTATTATCAACATAAATAAGCAATGTGCTCTCTCACATGCTCTTTCCTTCTCTTAAAAAATATATAATATGTACTTATTATATATTATATGCATAGACACACGTGTGTCTATACATATCCTACATGTACATATTGAGGATTAACAGGTGCTAGTAGAAAATATTAACTTTCTTTGTATTAACAGGTGTTAGTAGAAAGTAGTAGTAGGTGCTAAGATAAAAGCCATAATTAAACCTCCTGGTGAATGAACACACCATCACCTACAATCTTACCAAAAATAGAATCAAGCACGTGTCCTAGTCAAACCTCTGGATTCAACTGTCATTTGGATAAAACGCAAAGGATAGTGAAAATGTCGATCTTCACTGAGAGTCTCACCAGCAAAATTCACAGTGTGGACACCAAGTGACAAAAATCCCAAATTTTTCAACAAATATATTGTATGGGAAAGAAAACTTTGAAAAGAAACCTGTATGTTAGAAGGGATTTTAAAAACACGACAAATGAAAACAAATGGGCAAGACTAAATCATAGTGTCTTGGAATGCATGCATGAAGGACACAGCCGTGAAAATGCAAGGACGCCTCTACTGGAACAGTCATGTTTATCGTCACTTTTCAGGAGAAAGGTGGCTGCAGTTGAGGAGAGTCACATGCTTCAGGGCTGGCAAAGTCCTATATCTTGACTTATGTGATGATTACAGGGATGTTTACAAAAATCAAACTATAAGTTTGTTTTGTGCCATGTTTTGTATTGTGTGTGTGTGTTTTGTTTTTCAACTTAAAAATAAATAAAATCAAAACCAAGGCTTCATTATCAAGTAGCACAAAGTCTCCAATCTATAACCTCCTTTGTCTGGATATCTGCATTTAACTACCATTGCCAGAGCTAATCCTGACAATGCATTCATATTTTTAACACTGAAACACAGTAAACAGGGAAAATTTTGCTCCTCTAAAACAGGGCATCTTCAGGCAATCAGAACAACTCAGAAAGTTTCTGTCTGTTGCATAAAACTCCCCTGTGCAAAGAGTTACACAAAATGCTGTCATAGTAAAGGTAGTTAACTAACGGCACTAATTGTTCTTGGGCAGTGGCCAAGTGGAACTTCAGAGACCTGGCATTGCCAGCCAGAAATCACTTGTCATGGGAATTGTCTCCTGGAATCACTTTGGTTGTCCCAGGGTAACGCAGGGAAAGTGGTTAATGGGTCACTTGGGGGTGGCATCTTCATCAGTAAATCACATTTACTTTCTCCTACTAAGAATTTTATTTTTGGCCATGAAGCCAAAAGTCAGCTCTTAAATAACAAGGGAAGCAAATAATCATTGAATAAAAATAGCAGAAAGAAAAAGCTGTGCAAAGAAATTTATGTTTTTAATTTGTTATATATGTATATTTTTATCATACTTTAAGTTCTAGGGTACATGTGCACAATGTGCAGGAATAAAATTTATGTTTTTAAAATTTATTCTACATTATGAATTCTACATTAGAAAAATAAACCATAGCCTCATCACAGGCACTTAAATACACTGAAGCTGCCAAAACAATCTATCGTTTTGCCTACGTACTTATCAACTTCCTCATAGCAAACTGGGAGAAAAAAGCAATGGAATGAATAAAATGATAGCCACAAAAATCAAGGTGGGAGAAATACTTATTATATGTCCATAAAAAATTTTAATTAATGCAAAGTATTAACACCAATGATTGCAGTAATACAGATCTTACAAATGATAGTTTTAGTCTGAACAGGACTATCCAAAAGTTAATTTTCTATAGTAACAGTTTTTAAATAAAATATCAATTCCTGAAACACATAAAATGGTCCATGAGTATACAACGAGTGAAAAAAAACAAATTCAGAGCAAAGATAAATTAAGAAGTATCTAATATTCAAACATAGTCAAAGAGAGGGAGATTTCTGGATAATCACTTAAACCCATGGTTAAACATAAATGCACATATGTTAATGTTTACTGAATAACTTATCTGTGCCAAGTGGTGTATTAATGATTCATTTTTATTTTTCACTAAATCTTTTCTCTAAAGTTGGTGTAGCCTGCAACTAAATGCAAGAAATCTGACCTAGGACCTGCACTTCTTACCATTTTGCTCATATTTATTCCCTGTGCATTTTTGTAACATGTATATGTTATATATATAGAAAGAGAGAGAGGCAGAGATGGAAAGTAATTTATGGAGTTTGATGTTATGTCAGGGTAATTACATGATTATATAATTAACAGGTTTCTTTTTAAATCAGCTATATCAATAGAAAAATAAATGTAGGAATCAAGAGACTCATTCTGTCCATCTGTGATAGTTCCATCATGATACTGCATTGTCAAGTCATTGCTCCAAAAATATGGTTTAGCTCAACACTGAGTGACTATAGGAAACCAGAAACCAGGCTGGGCGCTAAAGATGCAAAGATGAATGAGACATCATCTCTGCCGTCCAAAAGCTTACTGTCTAGTGGGAGAGTTACACACGTAAGGACAGTAATCTAATAAGAGCTAATAAGTGAAAACTAAGATAAATTAATAATACAAGATTACAGGGAAGGTTTCCAAAGTCAATGAGGCCTCAAATGAATCTTGAAAGTGTGCAAGGATTGACCAAATGAAGAAATGTGTAAGTTTTTCAAACAAAAAGGAACAGCATGAGCAAATGCAAGGAGGCCTAAAATAAAGAGATGTGTAAAGAGGTGTAAGCAGCTTTGTACTGCTGCCTGATAATTAGAAGAATATCGGGAGTAACAAGAGCTATAGAAGAGAGTCACAATTATGGAAAAATATTTATTAAATTATAAGAAATTTATAGCATAAGGAATAGTAGGACCGTTAAATGTTTTAATAAAGATGATGCTTCTTTTTTTAATATTTATTTTTATTATACTTTAAGTTCTAGGGTACATGTGCACAACGTGCAGGTTACATATGTATACATGTGCCGTGTTGGTGTGCTGCACCCATTAACTCATCATTTACATTAGGTATATCTCCTAATGCTATCCCTCCCCTCTCCCCCCACCCCACAACAGGCCGCGGTGTGTGATATTCCCCTTCCTGTGTCCAAGTGTTCTCATTGTTCAAGTCCCACCTATGAGTGAAAACATGCGGTGTTTGGTTTTTTGTTCTTGAGATAGATGATGCTTTAAATTGACCACTCTAGCTGCATTGTGGGAGGAAAAAAGATTTTAGAACAAGACTAGAAACAGAATAATTAGAAAAATGCAACTACAATGCAGATGAGTGATTATCAAGGTCTGAACTGAATAGTGGAAATAGAGATAAGGAGGCAAATTCAAGATATGTGCGTGACAGTAAAATTAACATGACCTGGTGTTTGATTGACTCTGTAAAGTGAAAGGAAAGGATGAATAATCAACAAATAATATTTATTCTACCAAATGCCTCCATGCCGCTTTGATGACAGGATAATATGTAAGCTTTTCTATATTTCAGAAACTATATGACATGACGAAAAGTAAAAAGGGGATGGGGGTAAGGAGGTATCCTGAATTGACTGAGAAATAAGGAGGTATTCCACAGAGAATATAAATAAACATATACTTAGTGTTCAAGGAATAATAAAAAAGAGAACATCTATGTGTCCACCATACAGGATATGAAATAGAACATTTGCCGGCCATGGTGGCTCACACCTGTAATCCCAGTACTTTGGGAGGCCGAGGTGGGAGGATCACTTAAGCCCAGGACACAGGTTGCAGTGAGCCAAGATCACACTATCGTACTCCAGCCTGGGCCACCATGTCTCAGAAAAATAAAAAAACTAGATGTCTTGGAGGATTGGAAACAAAATAGAACTTTACTAGTGCCTTAGACTCCCATTGGGTGCTCCTTGCCAATTGTGTTCTCCTTTATTTCCTGCTGGATATGACCACTGTCCTTCCATTGCATTGTATGTGTTTTTTAATAGACTTTAATGGTTCTCAAGTGATGCATTATTTAGTTTGGTTCTTTGAAACTTATATAAATGAAATTATTTTGTAGAAGTTCTTTCACCTTTATCAGAAGGTACTTTCACCTTGATTCAATAATAAGTTTGCATATTACAACCTTGTTGAATGTTGGTGTAATTCATCCATTCGTATTGCTATATGATATTCCACTACATGAATATGTCGGACTTCATTCCTCAGATCTATTGTTGATGAACACTTGAAATTTTTCCAGTTTTTAACCATTACAAACAATGCTGCTATGAACATTCTTTTGTAAATCACCTGGTTCATATGTGCAAGATATCCTCTGGGGTATATATTTAAAAGTAAAATTATTGAGTTATTCAACATTACCATGAAATGCTACACTATTTTTTTTAACAATCCTACCAATTTACACTTCTACCACGAACAGATAAGCATTACCATTGGTCTTCATTTGTAGGAACCATATTTGTCTTTTGCTCTGGGGGCTTTGTTTTGTTTTGCTTTGTTTTTTGCTTAGAAGTGCTTTGGCTATTAGGGATCTTTTTTTGGCTCCATGTGAACTTTAGGATTTTTTTTTAATTTTGTGAGAAATAACGTTGGTAATTTGATGGGAATTGCATTAACTCTATAGATTGTATGGGTGATATGGTCACTTTAGCTATTGATTTTTCTAATCCATGAGCATGGGATGTTTTTCCATTTGTTTATGTCATCTATAATTTCTTTCATTAGTATTTTGTAGTTCTCCTTGTAGAGATCTTTCATTTATATAGTTATGCATTCCTAGGTATTTTTCATGGCTATTGTAAATTCAGTTGAGTTCTTAATTTGGTTCTCAACAAATTAATCTCAACAAACATTCAAACAGCTTGAATGTATTTGGTGTATAGAAATACAACTGATTTTTGTGGCTTGTTTATCCCAAGACTTTACTGAAGTCGTGTATCAAGTCTAGGAGTCTTCTGAAGACTTTAGGGTTTTCTAGGCCTACAGTCATGTCATCAGTGAGCAGAGATCATTTGACTTCTTTTCTAATTTGTATACCTTTTATTTCTTTCTCCTTTCTGATAGTTCTGGCTAGCACTTCCAGTACTGTATTGAATAGGAATGATGAAGGTGAACATCCTTGCTTTTTTCCAGTTTCTAGAAGCAACACTTCTAACTTTTGCCCATCCAGGATGATGTTGGCTGTGGCTTTGTCATAGATGACTCATTTTTTGAGGTATACTCCATCTATACCTATATTGTTGAGGGTTTTTATCATAAACAGATGTTGGATTTTATCAAATGCTTATTCTGCATCTAATGAGATGATCATAGGGTTTTTGTTCTCAGTTCCATTTATGTGGTGAATCATGTTTATTGATTTGTCTATTTTGAACCATTCAAGCACCCCTGGAATAAAGCCCACTTGATCATGATGAATTATCTTTTTGATGTGTTGTTAGCTTCAGTTTGCTAGAATTTTGTTGAGTATTTTTACATCTGTGTTGATCAGGGATAAGGATTTGTAGTTTTCTTTTGTGTTCTTTTTAAAATTTTCCTTGTTAATTTTACTGCACAGTATTATTTTAATGATGAATAAAGTGTTGAGCTGGACATGTGTACCTTGTTCCTCATGTTAGAATGAAACTGTTTAATATGTCATGATTATTTATAATGTTGAGAGTAGTTTTTGTGTATATATTAAGATATTTACATCAGTTCTCTTCTATTCCTAGTTTGTTATTATTACAAATAGTTTCAAATGTGAACAAGTGCTTTTCCCACAGCTATTGAAATAACCATATTTTTTTCTTTTATTCAGTTA
Organism: Homo sapiens; assembly: GCF_000001405.40. Taxonomy (NCBI): domain Eukaryota; kingdom Metazoa; phylum Chordata; class Mammalia; order Primates; family Hominidae; genus Homo; species Homo sapiens. The sequence continues at coordinate 426,368 of NC_000001.11, forward strand.
ATGTGGTTAATTTCATTGTTTGGTTTTCTAATTTTAAACCATACATTCTTGAAATTACTGCACTTAGTCATGATGTATTTTTCTTTGGAGTATATTGTTGGATTATATTTGCAAACATTTTTGTTTAGAATTATTATGTAGTATATTAGTCTGTAATTTCATTTCTTTTAATATCCTTGTATGGTTTTACTATCATGGAGGTACCACCATATAAAACAAGTTGGAAAGTGTTATGTCTTCCCAATTCTCTAAAAATATTCATGTAACATTGGCATTATTTCTTTATTAAATATTTGGTAATATTTCTTTATTAAATATTGCATCCACCTAGCCCTGGAGTTCTTTCTACAGGAAAAAAAAATTTTCTAAATAAAATTTCTACAATGAAAAAAAAACTACTCAGTTTTTCTAGTTTTTTTCTGATCATTTCATAAAAGTAGGTATTTTTCATAGGAACTTGACCATTCCTTATGATTGTCAAATTTATTAATATAAAGTTTCATATTTTATATTTATTTTATCAGATAAATAAAATTATATGTTTTGAAATATATATTCATTGTAAAATAGCCATGTTAAGCTAACATATGCATTACCTTACATGCTTATCTTTTTTTATGAGAACACTTAAAAATCTACTCTTAGCAATTTTGAAGAATACAAGTACATCCCCTATGGAGAACAGTTTGAAGGCTCCTCAAAAAAGTAAAAATAGAGCTACCATGTGGTCCAGCAATCCCACTGCTGCATATATACCCCCCAAAAAAGAAATCAGTATATCGAAGAGATATCTGCACTCCCGTATTTGTTGCAGCACTATTTACAATAGCGAAGTTATGGAGTCAACCTAAGTGTCCATCAACAGATGAATGAATAAAGAAAATGTGGTACTTATATACAATGAAGTATTATTCAGCCATAAAAAGGAATGAGACCCTGTCATTTGCAACAACATAGATGAAACTGGAGGTCATTATGTTAAGTGAAATAAGCCAGGCACAAAAAGACAAATACTATGTGTTATCACTTATATGTGGAATCCAAAAAGCAAACAACTGAACTCATGGAGATAGAGAGTAGAAGGAAGTATACCAGAGGCTGTGAAGGGTAGTGGGGGTTGGGAGAGGTGGGGGATGGTTAATGGGTACAAAAAAAGAAAGATTTAATAAGACCTAGTATTTGATAGCACAACAGGGGGATTGCAGTCTAAAATTCAATTATACATTTAAAAATAACTGAAAGAGTATAATTGGATTGTTTATAACACAAATAATAAATGCTTGAGGGGATGAATATCCAATTTTCCATTATGTACTTATTGTACATTGCATGCCTGTACCAAAATATTTCATGTACCCCATAAATGTATACACCTGCTATGTACCCACAAAAATTAAATTTAAAAACAATACATTGTTATCCACTATAGTCACCATATTGCACAATAGATCTGTTGAATTCATTCCTCCTGTACAATGCAATTTTGTACCCTTTGACCAACATCTACCCAATCCTCCTGGTAACCATCATTCTACTCTGTACTTCTATGTGTTCAGCCTTCTTAGACCTCCACATACAAGTGAGATTATGCAGTATCTGGCTTTCTGTGCCTGGATTATTTTACTCAGTATAATGTCCTCCCGGTTCATTCATGTTGTCACAAATGATACTTTTTTTATTTTTTAAGGTTGTATACTATTCTATTGTGTATGTGTACCACATTTTCTTCATCCACTCATGTGTCGATGGATACTTAAGTTAATTCCACATCTTGGCTGTTGTGAATAATGCTACAATAAATATGGGAGTACAGATAACTCACTGACACACTGATTTGATATCTTTTTAATATATGCCCAGAAATAGCATTACTGAATCATATGGTAATTCTATTTTTACAGAATCATTTATACTGTCTTTTACAATGGCTGAAATAGTTTACATTCTCAACAATTACAAGGTTTTCCTTTTCTCCACATCCTCTCCAACACTTGGTATCTTCTGCCTTTTCTGTAACAGCCATTCTAACGGATGTGAAATGGCATTTTATTGTAGTTTTAATATGCATTTCTCTGATGATCAGTGATAATTAGCATTTTTATATATCTGTTGGCCATTTGTATGTCTTCTTTTGAGAAATGTCTATTTAGATCCTTTGTCAATTTTTCATTAGGGTTCCTTGTTTTCTTATTATTGTGTTGTTTGAGTTCCTAAGATATTTTGGACATTAGCCTCTTATCAAATGTATAGTTTGCAGATAATTTCTCCCATTTTGTAGGTTATCACTTCACTCTGTTGACTTTCTTTTGCTGTGCAGAAGCTTTTTAGGTTGATGCTATTCCATTTGTGTTTTGTTGCTTTTCTTGCCTGTGCTTTAGAGTCATATCATAAAATATTATTGCCCAGACCAATGTCTTGGAGTTATTCCCCTGTTTTCTTCCAGGAGTTCTATAGTGCTAGGTCTTACATTTAAGTCTAACTTATTTTGAATTTATATTTTTATATGGTATGAAATAAGGGCCTAAGATCAATCTTGTGGACATTCAGTTTTCTCAACACCATTTTTTGAAGAGACTGTTCTTTCCCCATGTGTGTTCCTGGCACCTTTGTTGAAAGTCAATTGACTATAATATGTAGATTTATTTATGGGCTCTTTATTCTGTGTAATTGGTCTATGTGTCTGCGTTTATGCCAGTACCATGGTGTTTCGATTGCTATAGCTATGTAGTATAATTTGAAGTCAGGTAATGTGATATCTCCTGCCTTGCTTTTTTCGATCAAGATTATTTTGGCTTTTCAGAGTTTTTTGTGATTCCATACAGATTTGAGAGTTGTTTTTCTATTTCTGTGGGAAAATGTCATAGGAATTTTGATAGAGATTGCATTCAATATGTACATCACTTTGGATAGTATGGACATTTCAAACATATTACTTTTTCCAATCCATGAACATGATATATCTTTCCATTTATTTGTGGCTTCTTCAATTGTTTTCATCAATGTTTTGTAGTTTTCAGTGTAAAGATCATTCACCTCTTTGTTTAAATTTACATCTAAGTATTTTTTGTTGCTATTATAAATAGGATTGTTTTCTTGATTTCTTTTTTTGTATAGTTTGTTGTTGATGTGTAGAAATGCTACTGAATTTTGTATGTTCACATTGTATCCTGCAACTTTACTAAATTCATTTATGAATTCTAAATTTTTTGGCAGAGTTATTGGTGTTTTCTATATATAAGATCATGTCAACTGCAAACAGAAACAATTTAACTTCTTCCTTTCCAATTTTCATGCCTTTTATTTCTTTCTTTTGCCTAATTGCTCTGGCTAGGACATCCAGTACTATGTTGAATAGAAGTTCTGAGAGTGGGCACCCTTGTATGAAGTTTTCCACAACATCTCTTATCTTTTTATTAGCTATATATTAATACGGATGTTTCTTCTTCATCAGGAGTTTGAAAAATATGTCTTTTCTCTATATTGTTCTTAATCAGTCTTCCTAGAAGTATTTCAATTTCAAAAAGTAGCAACAACTGTGGGAGTTCAGTCAGGCTGGTGGGAAAAATTTTAAAGATAGTTATAAGAAATCGACACAAACCTTCATGGAAGGCTGGGGGTGTTGTATAGCTTCAGTAATAGATCTGAATGAAGGCGGCCTAATCCTTCCTTGAGTAAATAGCTTAAAGTAGGTGCAAAGGAATGTAAGGGAGTTTATCTAAATAACTTGTTTACTCATGTGGTCCTGAAGCCAACCTTTGATCATTCACAGGCAGGATGGCTCTCTCTCGGGGGAGGGTGACCAGGTTAATTACCCTCTATTTGTGTTGACTAAAAGCCCCTGTCATTTAATGTTTTTTCAATAAATGCTGGCAGGGCTAGCTAGTCAGGGCTCGTGGCTGCCAGAACTCTTTCTGTGCACGGCCCAGCCCCCTAGCGGCTCTTTCACTGAATAATTGGTGTCTGAGTACATTATTCATCCCTCGTGCAGCTGGGGTCTGCAGGACAGACCCCCACAAACAACAATTTGCAAAAGCAAACTTCCCTGTTTTGTTTTTTTCCAAAGATGATAAATTAGAGGCTTTTAGTATGCCTCGGCCACTTAGAAATAGCAAGAGAGTGCACAAAGGTCAACTCTGTGAGCTCTAAGTCAAGAAGGAAAATGGGAATCCACCAGAATCATGAAGGACATCATAGATCCCAAGAAGGAGAATGTGAGCAAACAGTCAACATGACAGCAACCAGCTTATAAAAGTGAGCGAAGTCCTAGTATGTGAGAGAGGCAGAGAGCCTCCCTCTGTAACTGACATTTTCACTGTGAATCTGAGCAACCCCAGCCAAGTTGTTGCATTTTGTTTCTCCCAAGGCCTGGAGTCAACATGGGGAGAGGCTTGGAGATGCTGTGAAGCAAAGACACTGGGAACAGCTGCAGACATTTTCCCAGACCAGGAAGTAAGAGCAAGATGCCATTTTCAATCTGGATGCATGCAAAGTCAGCTTTTTTTTTTCTTTTTGTGACCCAGCAGAATGCCTGCACAGGCATTTTAGTCTCAGGCCAAAGATTGGAACAACTGCTTTGGGGCTTGGTAGGGACCTTCACAGCCATATTGTGGAAAACACCTCAGCAGTATGTGCTGGAATTGTGCTTTCCCCCATCGCAGCCTCGGGGCAACAGAAAAGCTGCTACAGCTGTAATTTCTCCCAGGTGATGAAACTTGCAGCCAGGGCCAGCTTGGAGACCTACAACCAGTCTGCAGGTGTCATTGCTGGGTGCCCCAGCCTGTTCCCCTGAGAATGTGATACAGCAGGGCTTTCTCTGCTTCACCCCCAGGCAGAAATTCAGGCATTGGAGCACCTGTCTACCTGGACCAGCATCCTGAGCTACCCCACCGTTTATAAACATAGGTTGTGGTGCAGTGGGGCCCTCTCCAGTCTATGGCCAGGCAGATTTCCAGGTATGTGGAGTACCCACTTGACTGGATCAGCAGCCTGAGCTTCCCCAACCTTCCTGTGCTGAGATTATAGTGCAGTGAGGCCCTCTCATCTCCACACATAGGCAGACCTCCAAGCAATTAGAGCACCTGCTCCTATGGAGAACTTAAATTTACAAGAAAAAAAAAAAACATCAAAAATTGGCCAAAGGACATGAACAGACAATTCTCAAAAGAAGACATGGATGTGGCCAACAAACATATGAAAAAAAGCTCAAATCACTGATCATTAGAGAAATGCAACTCAAAACCACAATGAGATACTATCTCAAACCAGTCTTAATGGTGATTATCAAAAACTCCAGAAACAACAGTTGCTGGTAAGGCTGTGGAGAAATAGGAATGTTTTTACACTGTTTGTGGGAATGTAAATTAGTTCATTCACTGTGGAAGGCAGTGTGAAAATTCCTCAAAGATCTAGAACCAGAAATGCCATTTGCCCCAGCAATCCCTTTACTGGATATATGCCCAAAGGAATATAAATCATTCTATTATAAAGATACATGCACAGGGCTGGGTGCAGTGGCTCACACCTGTAATCCCAGCACTTTGGGAGGCCAAGGCGGGTGGATCACCTGAGGACAGGAGTTTGAGACCAGCCTAGCCAACATGGGGAAACTCCATCTCTACTAAAAATAAAAAAATTAGCCAGGTATAGTGGTGCACACCTGTAATACCAGCTACTTTGGAGGCTGAGGCAGGAGAATCGCTGGAACCCAGGAGGCAGAGGTCAAAGTGAGCCAAGATCATACCATTGCACTCCAGCCTGGGCAACAAGAGCAAAACTCCATCTCAAAAAAATATATATATATACATATACATACATATATATACACATATATATACATATATACAGATATTATATATGTAAATGTATATATATGTGTATATATATACACACATATATATACACATATATATACATATTATAACTACATATATATACACACACACATACATATACATGCACACATATGATTATTGCAGCACTATTTACGATAGAAAATACATGGAATCAACCCAAATGCCCATCAATGATATATTGGATAAAGAAAATGTGATATATATTCACCATGGAATACTATGCAGCCGTTAAAATAAATGAGATCATGTTCTTTGCAGGGACATGGATGAAGCTGGAAGCCATCACCCTCAGCAAACTAACACAGGAACAGAAAACCAAACACCACATGTTCTCAGTCGTAAGAGGGAGTTGAACAATGAGAGCAAACACATGGATACATGGAGGGGAACAACACATACCAGGGCCTCTCAGCGGGACAGGGGTAGGAGACCATCAAGACAAACACGTGGATACATGGAGGGGAACAACACACACCAGGGCCTCTCAGGGGGACAGGGGGTAGGAGACCATCAAGACAAACACGTGGGTACATGGAGGGGAACAACACACACCAGGGCCTCTCAGGGGGACAGGGGGTAGGAGACCATCAGGACAAACACGTGGGTACATGGAGGGGAACAACACACACCAGGGCCTCTCAGGGGGACAGGGGGTAGGAGACCATCAGGACAAACACGTGGGTACATGGAGGGGAACAACACACACCAGGGCCTCTCAGGGGGACAGGGGGTAGGAGACCATCAGGACAAACACGTGGGTACATGGAGGGGAACAACACACACCAGGGCCTCTCAGGGGGACAGGGGGTAGGAGACCATCAGGACAAACACGTGGGTACATGGAGGGGAACAACACACACCAGGGCCTCTCAGGGGGACAGGGGGTAGGAGACCATCAGGACAAACACGTGGATACATGGAGGGGAACAACACACACCAGGGCCTCTCAGGGGGACAGGGGGTAGGAGACCATCAGGACAAACACGTGGGTACATGGAGGGGAACAACACACACCAGGGCCTCTCAGGGGGACAGGGGGTAGGAGACCATCAGGACAAACACGTGGATACATGGAGGGGAACAACACACACCAGGGCCTCTCAGGGGGACAGGGGGTAGGAGACCATCAGGACAAACACGTGGATACATGGAGGGGAACAACACACACCAGGGCCTCTCAGGGGGACAGGGGGTAGGAGACCATCAGGACAAACACGTGGATACATGGAGGGGAACAACACACACCAGGGCCTCTCAGGGGGACAGGGGGTAGGAGACCATCAGGACAAACACGTGGATACATGGAGGGGAACAACACACACCAGGGCCTCTCAGGGGGACAGGGGGTAGGAGACCATCAGGACAAACACGTGGATACATGGAGGGGAACAACACACACCAGGGCCTCTCAGGGGGACAGGGGGTAGGAGACCATCAGGACAAACACGTGGATACATGGAGGGGAACAACACACACCAGGGCCTCTCAGGGGGACAGGGGGTAGGAGACCATCAGGACAAACACGTGGATACATGGAGGGGAACAACACACACCAGGGCCTCTCAGGGGGACAGGGGGTAGGAGACCATCAGGACAAACACGTGGATACATGGAGGGGAACAACACACACCAGGGCCTCTCAGGGGGACAGGGGGTAGGAGACCATCAGGACAAACACGTGGATACATGGAGGGGAACAACACACACCAGGGCCTCTCAGGGGGACAGGGGGTAGGAGACCATCAGGACAAACACGTGGATACATGGAGGGGAACAACACACACCAGGGCCTCTCAGGGGGACAGGGGGTAGGAGACCATCAGGACAAACACGTGGATACATGGAGGGGAACAACACACACCAGGGCCTCTCAGGGGGACAGGGGGTAGGAGACCATCAGGACAAACACGTGGATACATGGAGGGGAACAACACACACCAGGGCCTCTCAGGGGGACAGGGGGTAGGAGACCATCAGGACAAACACGTGGATACATGGAGGGGAACAACACACACCAGGGCCTCTCAGGGGGACAGGGGGTAGGAGACCATCAGGACAAACACGTGCGTACATGGAGGGGAACAACACACACCAGGGCCTCTCAGCGGGACAGGGGGTAGGAGACCATCAAGACAAACACGTGGATACATGGAGGGGAACAACACACACCAGGGCCTCTCAGGGGGACAGGGGGTAGGAGACCATCAGGACAAACACGTGGATACATGGAGGGGAACAACACACACCAGGGCCTCTCAGGGGGACAGGGGGTAGGAGACCATCAGGACAAACACGTGGATACATGGAGGGGAACAACACACACCAGGGCCTCTCAGGGGGACAGGGGGTAGGAGACCATCAGGACAAACACGTGGATACATGGAGGGGAACAACACACACCAGGGCCTCTCAGGGGGACAGGGGGTAGGAGACCATCAGGACAAACACGTGGATACATGGAGGGGAACAACACACACCAGGGCCTCTCAGGGGGACAGGGGGTAGGAGACCATCAGGACAAACACGTGGATACATGGAGGGGAACAACACACACCAGGGCCTCTCAGGGGGACAGGGGGTAGGAGACCATCAGGACAAACACGTGGGTACATGGAGGGGAACAACACACACCAGGGCCTCTCAGGGGGACAGGGGGTAGGAGACCATCAGGACAAACACGTGGGTACATGGAGGGGAACAACACACACCAGGGCCTCTCAGGGGGACAGGGGGTAGGAGACCATCAGGACAAATAGCTAATGCATGCAGGGCCTCATACCTAGGTGATGGGTTGATGGGTGCAGCAAACCACCATGGCACACATTTACCTATGTATCAACCTATACTTTCTGCACGTGTATCCCAGAACATAAAATAAAATTTAAAAAATATATACACTGATTCATGATCTCCTTTCTCTCCTTCTGAAACACTCTTTAAAACTTTTTAGCATTTCCCCCTCTGTCTTCCATGTCTCCTAACTACATGTTTCTTATTTTCCATTTCCTTATTCCTGTGTTCATTTTGGATAGCCCCTTCTGACCTATATTACAGTTTACTAGTTCACTCTTCAACTGCTTCTAACATACTAATATTCTGTTAAAACCATTCATTTGGGTTTAAATTTCAATTATGTTATTCTCTATGGACATTCTATTTGTTTTCTTTTAATCTTCTTGGCCATTCTCTAGAGTTTCCTGTTCCATTATGATATTTTTAATTTTTTGTTTTACTTTAAACATACTAAATATAGTTATTTTATTTTCTGTATCTGATACTTTCAATAACTGCAGTCTTCGCTAGTCTTTTTTCTGTGCTCTTGCTCATAGTTTTTTTCGTTTGTTTTCATGATTAGAAAAACAGAGAGAGAAGAAGGAGAGTAAAGGGAGGAGGAGGAGGAGGAGAAAAGAAGAAAGCAGAGAAGAAGGGACAGAGAAAAAAAGGAAGTTGGTTCTAACGTTTCTCTAACAACTGTCTTCAGTGAAACGCTCCCACCTTGTGGATTTTTAGGTTATTGAAATTAACCAGTCTTCTGGGTGCAGCACACCAACATGGCACATGTATACATATGTAACAAACCTGCACTTTGTGCACATGTACCCTAAAACTTAAAGTATAATAAAAAATAAAATAAAAAGCTACACAAATTAAAAAAAAAAGAAATCAACCTAATTCCTAGATTACCACCTCTTGATTCAAATGCTTTAAATCTAGGCTTTTCATCTGAGTCTTTCTTTTTAGTTATTCTGTTTATCTTCAAAACACTCCTGCTTTGAATCATTCAAAATCTACCTCCCTCCCTCTGTTTGACTACCATCAATTTTTTTGCTCATTCCTAATGCATTAATCTATTAGCTGTGAATATCCAAAAACCCTCATTTCACTGAATCTTTGACAGACCCCTTTGCATCCTCTTGTTCTTCTAATTATTTCCTCAGACACTTTATGTTCTCTTTTCTTTACAAGCATGCCATAGTTTATATACAATGTGTGTATTGTTTTTATATATACCTATATATAGCCTCTTTTTAAAAGCACTGTACACCATGCTTTGAAATATATTCTAAAATCAGGTAGCATGAAAATGGAAACATAACATACTAAAACATATGGGATGCAACAAAAGCAGTTATAAGAGGGACACTTATAGCAATAAATGCCTACATCAAAAAAGAAAAAAAGATCTCAAATAAGCAACCTAATATTATGCCTAAAGGAGCGAGAAAATTAGAGAACAATACAAGCCCAAAGATAGCAGAAGGAAACAAATAACAAAGATCAGAGCAGAAATAATATAATAGAAACTGAAAATTTCAATAAAAATAAGAATTGTTTTTTGAAAAGATAAACAAAATTAACAAATTCTTACATAGACTAAGAAAAAAGAAAACAAACTCAGAAATGAAAGAAGAGACATTAAAACTGATACCACAGAAGTTAAAAAATCATAACATACTACTATAATTAATTATTCACCAGCAAATTAGATAACCTAGAAGAAATTGATAAACTCGTACCAAAACTGAATCATGAAGAATTCAAAATTTAGAACAAATCGTGAATAAGGAAATTAAATCACCAATGAAAGGTCTCTCATAAAAGAAAGACCCAGGATTGAATGGCTCAGTGGCTGGATTCTAACAAACACTTAGATAACTAACACCAATCCTTCTCAAACGCTTCCAGAAACATGAAGAAGAGGAATACTTCCAAATTCATTTTTCAAAACCAGCATTACCCTGATACCAAAACCAGAGAAGGACACTATAATAAAAATAAATTGCAGACCAATACTCCTGATGAACTTAGATGGAAAAACCCTCAGCCAAATATTAGCAAATATTATTTTTAAGAAAACACAGCAAAAAAATTCACCATGCTTAAGTGGGATTCATCCCTGGGAAGCTTATTAGTCTTATTTGATTCGTGTAATCAGAAAATTTCTATGTCTAGTGAAGAGAAATGAGAGCAATAGAGACTCATAGCACCTCAACAAATTTCCAGGCTTGAGCCAGTTAACAAATACAAGTCCTTCAAATACAAAAAGACTGTGAAAGAAAATAGAACAGATCAATGAAACTAAGAATTTGTTCTTTGAAAAGATAAACAAAACTGACAAACCATTAGCTAGACTAGAAAAACGAGAGAATACTCAAAGCAATAAAATCAGAAATGAAAGAGGAAATATTGCAACTAATACCACAGAAATATAGAGGATCATAAGAGGCCACTATAAACAATTACAAGCCAACAAATTGGATAACCTAGAAAAAGCAGATAAATTTCTAGAAAAATGCAACTTACCTAGAGAAAGTCAAGAAGAAAGATAAAATCTGAACAGAACAATACTGAGTATGGAGAGTATATCAATAATAAAACATCTCCCATCAAAGAACATCCCAGGACCAGAAAACTTCATTGCTGAATTCTAACATTTTAAAAAATAATAATACAATCCTTCTGAAATTCTTCCAAAAACTTGAAGGAGAAAGAGTATTTCCAAACTCATTTTAAAAGATCAGCATTATTGTTTTTTTTTTAAAGTGATGTTCCCCTTCCTGTGTCCATGTGTTCTCATTGTCCAATTCCCACCTATGAGTGAGAACATGCACTGTTTGGTTTTTTGTCCTTGTGATAGTTTGCTGAGAATGATGGTTTCCAGCTTCATCCATGTCCCTACAAAGGACATGAACTCATCATTTTTTATGGCTGCATAGTATTCCATGGTGTATATGTGCCACATTTTCTTAATCCAGTCTATCATTGTTGGACATTTGGATTGGTTCCAAGTCTTTGCTATTGTGAATAGTGCTGCAATAAACATACGTGTGCATGTGTCTTTATAGCAGCATGATTTATAATCCTTTGGGTATATACCCAGTAATGGGATGGCTGGGTCAAATGGTATTTCTAGTTCTAGATCCCTAAGAAATCGCCACACTGACTTCCACAATGGTTGAACTAGTTTACAGTCCCACCAACAGTGTAAAAATGTTCCTATTTCTCCACATCCTCTCCAGCACCTGTTGTTTCCTGACTTTTTAATGATGGCCATTCTAACTGGTGTGAGATGGTATCTCATTGTGGTTTTGATTTGCACTTCTCTGATGGCCAGTGATGATGAGCATTTTTTCATGTGTTTTTTGGCTGCATAGATGTCTTCTTTTGAGAAGTGTCTGTTCATATCCTTTGCCCACTTTTTGATGGGGTTGTTTGTTTTTTTCTTGTAAATTTGTTTGGGTTCATTGTAGATTCCGGATATTAGCACTGGGGCCTGTTGTGGGGTGGGGGGAGGGGGGAGGGATAGCATTAGGAGATACACCTAATGTTAAATGATGAGTTAATGGGTGTAGCACACCAGCATGGCACATGTATACATATGTAACTAACCTGCACGTTGTGCACATGTACCCTAAAACTTAAAGTATAATTTAAAAAATAAATAAATAAAAATAAAAATAAAAAGGCAAACAAGGACACTATAAGAAAAGTATGGGCCAACCAATATCCCTGATGAACATAGATACAAAAGTCCTCAAAATAAGTACTAGCAAACAGAATTTAACAACATATTAGGAGAACATTTACCATGATAAAGTGGATTTATCCTCCAGATGTTTCAGCAAACACAAATCAAATGTGATAAACCACATTAACAGAATGAAGGATAAAAAAATAGCTATCTCTATATATGCAGAAAAAGCATTTGACTAAATTCAAAATCCTCTCATGACAAAACCTCTCAACAAATTGGGCGTAGAAGGCATGTACCTTAACACAAAACAGGACATATATAACAAGCTCACAGCTCACATCATACCCAACAATGAAAAAGTGAAATCTTTTCTGCTAAGATCAAGAACAAGACAAGGATATTTATTCTCACTACTTCTATTCAACTTATTTCTGGAAGTCCTAGCCAGAGCAATTAAGCCAAATAAAGAAATAAAAGATATTCAAATTGAAAAGGAAGAAGTAAAATTGTCTCTGTTTGATGACATATTATATATAGGAAACCCTAAAAACTCCACCAAAAAGCTATTAGAAATGATAAATGAATTCAATAAAATTGCAGAATTCAAAATCAATATACAAAACTCAGTAGTTTCTTTACACTCACAACAAACTATATGACAAAAATAAAGAAATCAATCTCATTCACAGTAGCATCAAAAAAACTGTATTTTTTTTGTTTAGGAGCACATTTAGGATTGTACTTAGGAGTACATTTAACCAAGGAGGTGAAAGATCTGTATTCTGAACACTATAAAACATTGATGAAAAATTGTAGATGACACAAATACATGGAAAGATATTTTATGTTCATGGGTAGGAAGAATTAATATTCTTAAAATGTCCTTACTGCCCAAAGCGATTTATAGGTTTAATGCAACATTTATCAAAATTTCAATGTCATTCTTCACAGAAATAGAAAAAACAATTTGAAAATTTATATGGAACCACAAAGGACCCTGAATAACTAAAGCACTCTTGAGCAATAAGAACAAAGCTGAAGGCCTCACAATCTGACTTCAAAACGTATTACAGGAAAAGAACAAAAGAAGGAAGAAGAGGGTAGAGGAGAAGTGCAGCAAGGGTGGAGGGAGGTGCCCGCGCTGGGTCGGAGGAGCAGGAGGAGTAAGGAGGGAAGACTCCTGGGTGGCATGGAGCTCTTGCACCTCTAGGCACTGCCCAGCCCTGTGTCAGCCAGGGCTGAACCCCCACAGGATAAGGAAGCCTGTGTGTGTACCAACAATCAAAGCTACATCTGTGACACAACAGGACACTGCTATGGGCAGTCTCAGTGTTGTAACTACTACTATGAACATTGGTGGTTCTGGCTCGCGTGGACCATCACCATCATCCTGAGCTGCTGCTGTGTCTGCCACCACAGCCAAGCCAGCCCTCAAGTCCAGCAGTAGCAACATGAAATCAACCTGCCTGCCTATCCAGAAGCCCGCAATTACTCAGTGCTACCATTTTATTTCACCAAACTATTTATTACCTTCTTATGAGGAAGTGGTGAACTAACCTCCACCTGTTTCCCTCCCTGTCTGTCCATTGTGGATGAGCTCTGAGCCCTGTTTTCCTGTGAAGATTCTTTGAATTGCGGCCATTCTATTCACATGAACTCTCACATCTGGAGCACAGATGGCCCTCTCAAGGTAATTTATTGTATGCATTGACTGTTTACCAAACAAATGTCTTACTATGTACTCAGGTATATTCAGCAGCATTGTCGACTGCAGTCCCCTATGCTTGCCAGAAGATACTGTATTCAAAGTAGAAGTTTCACAGTGATGAGTAATCACTGCAATTTTCCCATTGCTCCATGGACTCTCGGAGGCCGGTGTTCTGTTCCCTGTAAATAGAGATGTACTCTGAACCTTTCTGCCTCCCTCAGCTGTTCCTAGTCCTTGGTATCAGCCCCTGGAGATGTCCACAACCACTTAGGACAAAAGGCAAAAGTGGAATTTCAGACAAAACTTTGATAGGATCTTCAGTGATAAACTTGGACTAACTGTGGCCCAGGTATCAGCACTCCCAAGAATTGCCAGGAGGAAGCTTTGGCAGACACCACAGGTATGGCAAGGCCTATCTCCCTCTGCTGAATCCAACAGGGGCAAGCAAGCTGGCATGTGGCTTGAGGTGACCCGAATATGTCAGCACCCCTCAGATGTCTTTCTTTGCACTTTTAAAAAAAATCTCAGAATTTGCTGGCAACATGGCCAAATAGGAACAGCTCCAGTCTGCAGCTCCCAGTGAGATCAATGCAGAATGCAGGTGATTTCTGCATTTCCAACTGAGGTACCTGGTTCATCTCACTGGGACTGGTTGGACAGTGGGTGCAGCGCACGGAGGGTGAGCCAAAGCAGAATGGGGTGTCGCCTCACCCGGGAAGTGCAAGGGGTTGGGGGAATTCCCTCCCCTAGCCAAGGGAAGCCCCGAGGGACTGTACCATGAGGAACGGTGCACTCCACCCAGAAACTATGCTTTTCTCACGGTCTTCACAATCCACAGACCAGGAGATTCCCTCCAGTGCCTCTGCCACCAAGGCCCTAGGTTTCAAGCACAAAACTAGGCAGCTGTTTGGGCAGACACCGAGCTAGCTGCAGGAGTTTTTTTTTTTTTTTCATGCCACAATGGCAACTGGAATGCCAACAAGACAGAACCATTCTCTCTCCTGGAAAGGGGGCTGAAGCCAGGGAGCCAAGTGGTCTGGCTCGGCGGGTCCCACCCATACAGAGCCCAGCAAGCTAAGATCCACTGGCTTGAAATTCTTGCACAGCAGTCTGAGGTTGACCTAGGACACTCGAGCTTGGTGGCGGGAGGGGCTTCCACATTGCCAAGGCTTGAGTAGGCAGTTTTACCCCCACAGTGTAAACAAAGCCACCAGAAAGTTTGAACTGGGTGGAGCCCACCACAACTCAGCAAGGCCACAGCAGCCAGACTGCCTCTCTAGATTTCTCCTCTCTGGGCAAGGCATCTCTGAAAAAAGGGCAGCAGCCCCAGTCAGAGACCTATAGATAAAACCCCCATCTCCCTGGAACAGAGCACCTAGGGGAAAGGGCGCCTGTGGGCACAGCTTCAGCAGACTTAAAGCATCTTTGAAAAGCCTGATGGCTCTGAAGAGAGCAGCAGATCTCCCAGCACAGTATTCGAGCTCTGATAAGGGTCAGACTGCCTCCTCAAGTGGGTCCCTAACCCCCGTGTATCCTGACTGGGAGACACCTCCCAGTAGGTGCCAACAGGCACCTCATACAGGAGAGCTCTGGCTGGCATCTGGTGGGTGCCCCTCTTGGACAAAACTTCCAGAGGAAGAAACAGGCAGCAATCTTTGCTGTTCTCCAGCCTCCGCTGGTGATGCCCAGGCAAACAGGGTCTAGAGTAGACCTAGGGCAAACACCAACAGACCTGCAGCAGAGGGGCCTGACTGTTAGAAGGAAAACTAACAAACAAAAAGGAATAGCATCAACATCAACAAAAAGGACAGCCACTCAGTGACCTCATCAGAAGGTTACCAACATCAGAAACCACAGGTAGATAAATCCATGAAGATGGAGAGAAACCAGAGCAAAAAGGCTGAAAATTCCAAAAACCAGAACGCCTCTTCTCCTCCAAAGGATCACAACTCCTCACCAGCAAGGGAACAAAAGAAAACTGGACGGAGAATGAGTTTGATGAATTGAGAGAAGTAGGTTTCAGAAGGTAGGTAATAACAAACTCCTCCAAGCTAAAGGAGCATGTCCTAACCCAATGTAAGGAAGCTAAGGACCTGGAAAAAAGGCTAGACCAATTGCTAACTAGAATAACCAGTTTAGAGAAGAACATAAATGACCTGATGGAGCTGAAAAACATGCCATGAGAACTTCATGCAGCATGCACAAGGATCAAGCACTGATTCGATCAAGCGGAAGAAAGATATCAGAGACTGAATATCAACTTAATGAAATAAATCAAGAAGACAAGATTAGAGAAAAAAGAATGAAAAGAAATGAACAAAGCCTCCAAGAAATATGGGACTATGTGAAACGACCAAATCTACGTTTGATTGCTGTACCTGAAAGTGATGGGGAGAATGGAACCAAGTTAGAAAACACTCTTCAGGATATTATCCAGGAGAACTTCCCTAACCTAGCAAGGCAGGCCAATATTCAAATTCAGAAATACGGAGAACATCACAAAGACACTCCTCAAGAAAAGCAACCCCAAGACACATAGTCATCAGATTGAGCAAGGTTGAAATGAAGGAAAAAATGTTAAGGGCAGCCAGAGAGAAAGGTCAGGTTACCCACAAAGGGAAGCCCATCAGACTAACAGCAGATCTATCAGCAGAAATTCTACAAGCCAGAAGAGAATGGGGGCCAATATTCAACATTCTTAAAGAAAAGAATTTTCCACCCAGGATTTCATATCCAGCCAAACTAAGCTTCATAAGTGAAGGAGAAATAAAATCTTTACAGACAAGCAAATGCTGAGAGATTTTGTCACCACCAGGCCTGCCTTAAAGGAGCTCCTGAAGGAAGCACTAAACATGGAAAGGAACAACTGGTATCAGCCACTGCAAAAACATACCAAATTGTAAAGACCATTGACACTATGAAGAAACTGCATTAACTAACAGCAAAATAACCAGCTAGCATCGTAATGACAGGATCAAATTCACACATAACAATATCAACCTTAAATGTAAATGGGCTAAATGCTCCAATTAAAAAACACAGACTGGCAAATTGGCTAAAGAGTCAAGACCCATCAGTGTTCTGTATTCAGGAGACCCATCTCACGTGCAAAGACACAAATAGGCTCAAAATAAAGGGATGGAGGAATACTTACCAAGCAAATGGAAGGCAAAAAAAAGCAGGGGTCGCAATCCTAGTCTCTGATAAAACAGACTTTAAACCAACAAAGATCAAAAGAGACAAATAAGGGCATTGCATAATGGTAAAAGGATCAATGCAACAAGAAGAGCTAATTATCCTAAATATATATGCACCCAATACAGGAGCACCCAGATGCATAAAGTAAGCTCTTAGAGACTTAAAAAGAGACTTAGACCCTCACACAATAATAGTGGGAGACTTTAACATCCCACTGTCAATACTAGACAGATCAACGAAACAGAAAGTTAACAAGGATATCCAGGACTTGAACTCAGCTCTGGACCAAGTGGATCCAATAGACAGCTACAGAACTCTCCACCCCAAATCAACAGAATATACATTCTTCTCAGCACCACATTGCACTTATTCTAAAATTGACCACATATTTGGAAGTAAAACACTCCTCAGCAAATGCAAAAAAAAATGGGAATCATAACAGTCTCTCAGATCGCAGTGCAATTAAATTAGAACTCAGGATTAAGAAACTGACTCAAACCCACACAACTACATGTAAACTGAACAACCTGCTCCTGAACAACTACTGGGTAAATAAAGATATTAAGGCAGAAATAAATAAGTTATTTGAAACCAATGAGAACAAAGACATAACATACCAGAATCTCTGGTACACAATTATAGCAGTGTGTAGAGGGAAATTTATAGCACTAAATGCCCACAAGAGAAAGCAGGAAAGATCTAAAATTGACACCCTAACATCTCAATTAGAAGAACTCAAGAGGCAGGAGCATACAAAAAGCTAGCAGAGGACAATAAATAACTAAGATCAGAGCAGAACTGAAGGAGATAGAGACACAAAAAAACCTTCAAAAAAAATCAATGAATCCAGGAGCTGGTTTTTTGAAAATATCAATAAAATAGATAGACCACTAGCCAGACTCATAAAGAAGAAAACAGAGAAGAATCAAACAGATGCAATAAAAAATGATAAAGGAGATACCACCACTGATCCCACAGAAATACAAACTACTATCAGAGAATACTATAAACACCTCTACACAAACTAGAAAATCTAGAAGAAATGGACAAATTCCTGGACACATACACCCTCCCAAGACTAAACCAGGAAGAAGTTGAATCCCTGAATAGACCAATAACAAGGTCTGAAATTGTGGCAGAATTAATAGCCTACCAACCAAAAAACAGTCCAGGACCAGATGGATTCACAGCCGAATTCTACCAGAGGTACAAAGAGGAGCTGGTACCATTCCTTCTGAAACTATTCCAAACAACAGAAAAAGAGGGAATCCTCCCTAACTCATTTTATGAGGCCAGAATAATTCTGGTACCAAAATTTGGCAGAGACACAACAAAAAAAAAGAAAATTTCAAGCCAATATCCCTGATGAACATCGATGCAAGAATCCTCAATAAAATACTGGCAAACCAAATCCAGCAGCACATCAAAAGCTTGTCCACCACAATCAAGTCGGCTTCATCCCTGGGATACAAGGCTAGTTCAACATACGCAAATCAATAAACATAATTCATCATATAAATAGAACCAATGGCAAAAACCACATGCTTCTCTCAATAGATGCAGAAAAGGCCTTCGAAAAAATTCAACAGCCCTTCATGCTAAAAACTCTCAATAAACTAGGTACTGATGGAACATATCTCAAAATAATAATACCTATTTATGAAAAACCCACAGCCAATACTGAATGGTGAAAAACTGGAAGCATTCCCTTTGAAAACCAGCACAAGACAAGGATGCCCTATCTCACCACTCCTATTCAACGTAGTATTGGAAGTTCTGGCCAGGGCAATCAGGCAAGAGAAAGAAATTGTCTCTGTTTGCAGATGACATGATTGTGTATTTAGAAAACCCCATGGTCTCAGCCCAAAATCTTCTTAAGCTAATAAGCAACTTCAGAAAAGTCTCAGGATACAAAATCAATGTGCAAAAATCAAGCATTCCTATATGCAAAAAACAGACAAACAGAGAGCCAAATCATGAGTGAACTCTCCCATTCACAATTGCTACTAAGAGAATAAAATACCTAGGAATCCAACTTACAAGGGATGTGAAGGACCTCTTCAAGGAGAACTACAAACCACTGCTCAAGGAAATAAGAGAGGACACAAACAAATGGAAAAACATTCCATGCTCATGGATAGGAAGAATCAATATCATGAAAATGGACATACTGCCCAAAGTTTTTATAGACTCAATGCTGTCCCCATCAAGCTACCACTGACTTTGTTCACAGAATTGGAAAAAACTACTTTAAATTTCATATGGAACCAAAAATGAGCCCGCAGAGCTAGGACAGTCCTAAGCAAGTAGAACAAATCTGGAGGCATCACGCTGTCTGACTTCGAACTATACTACAAGTCTTCAGTAACCAAAACAGCATGGTACTGGTACCAAAACAGATATGTAGACCAATGGAACAGAACAGAGGCCTCAGAAATAACACCACACATCTACAACTATCTGATCTTTGACAAACCTGACAAAAACAAGCAATGGGGAAACGATTCCCTTTTTAATAAATGGTGTTGGGAAAACCGGCTAGCCATATGCAGAAAACTGAAACTGGATCCCTTTCTTACACTTTACACAAAAATTAACTCACGATGTATTAAAGACTTAAACATAAGATCTAAAACCATAAAAAACCCTAGAAGAAAACCTAGGCAATACCATTCAGTACATAGGCATGGACAAAAACTTCATGACTAAAACACCAAAAGCAATGGCAACAAAAGCCAAAATTGACAAATGGGATCTAATTAAACTAAAGAGCTCCTGCACAGCAAAAGAAACTATCATCAGAGTGAACAGGCAACCTACAGAATGGGTGAAAATTTTTGCAATCTATCCATCTGACAAAGGGCTAATATCCAGAATCTACAAAGAACTTAAACAATTTACAAGAAAATAACAAACAAACCCATCAGTGGGTGAAGGATATGAACTGACATTTCTCTAAAGAAGACATTTATGCAGCCAACAAACATATGAAAAAAAGCTCATCATCACTGGTCATCAGAGAAATGCATATCAATACCACAATGAGATACCATCTCACGCCAGATAGAATGGCGATCATTAAAAAGTCAGGAAACAACAGATGCTGGAAAGGATGTGGAGAAATAAGAATGCTTTTACACTGTTGGTGGGAGTGTAAATTAGTTCAACCATTGTGGAAGACAGTGTGGTGATTCCTCAAGGTTCTAGAACTAGAAATATGATTTGACCCAGTAATTGCATTACTGGGTATATATCCAAAGGATTATAAATCATTCTACTATAAAGACACATGCACACATATGTTTATTGTGGCACTGTTCACAATAGCAAAGACTTGGAACCAACCAAAATGCCCATTCAGTGATAGACTGCATAAAGAAAATGTGGCATATATACACCATGGAATACTATGCAGCCATAAAGAAGGATGAGTTCATATCCTTTTCAGGGACATGGATTAAGCTGGAAACCATCATTCTCAGCAAACTAATCCAAGAACAGAAAACCAAACACCCGATGTTCTCACTCATAAATGAGAGTTGAACAATGAGAACACATGGACAGAGGGAGGGGAACACAACACACCGGGGCCTGTCTGGGGGTAGGGGCTGGGGGAAGGTTAGCATTGGGTTAAATACCTAATGTAGATGATGGGTTGATGGGTGCAGCAAACCACCATGGCACGTGTATACCTATGTAACAATCCTGCATGTTCTGCATATGTACCCCAGAACTTAAAATATAATTTAAAAAAAAATCTCAAACAACTCACTGAAGTGTCTCAAAGCTGAACAAGTTTTACCAAAATGAATCCTTCTCAGTTAACTGATCAAATGGATGAATCCTGACCCTCTGAAGTCTCTTTCCTGAGTTAGAGCAGGGAACTGCTCTGAGTGTTAACTGTTGGATTCACTGCAGTGTTCTACAATATTTTACAAGAAGATGAACAGGCAACCTGCAGACCTAAGCTTGATTCCCAAGTCACAGTCTGACCCCTGCTACAGGAGGTTACCCTCCTCAGGAAGAGATAGAAATAGGGAATTTGAAGGAATAGTGAGGGGACCAGGGAGATTTGATTGAGTCTGGTTTCCAGGTGAATTAAAAGGAAGGGTGTCATCCAGGGTTTGTTACTACAGTCAAAAGAATAAATAAATCAATGAAGAAATACCTTCATTGTCTGTGGTTTTCATGCAGATATACTCATGGAGGTTGTATCTCTCCAAAAACAGACAAATCCAAGGCTGTGAACAAGCATCCGCATTTGAATTCCATTAAACCAAAATCTATGTTGAACGAAGTGAAGTCTGTACACAGCATTGCAAATGTGAACACATTCCTGTGTGAGGCACATCACCATTTGTCAGTTATTGTGAATATGTGTATTTTTAAGCAATAAGATGCAGCTGGTCAGTTTTCTGGGCAATCTTGGTGAGGCATTTCCTGTGCTGTGGTTGTTCTCTAACCACTGTGAGAAACCCAAATAAAAATCGATCCCCCCCAAAACAAGTACATATCACAAAACCATAGTAATCAAAACAATATGACACTTGCACAAAAACAGACACATTGACCAGGGGAACAGAATAAGGAGCCCAGAAATAAACTCATGCATTTATGACCAATAAATTTTTGACAAAGGTGCCCAGAAAACGTAATGAAGAATAGACATTTGTTTCAATAAATGGTGTTAAGAAAACTAGATATCCACATGCAGAAGAACACGAATGTGTATGGTGTGTATCCTTATCTCACACCATACACAAAAATCAATTCAAAATGGATTAAAGGTTTAAACATAAAACTGTAAAACTACTAGATGAAAACATAGGGGAAAAGTTCCACAATGTTGGTTTGGTCAAAGATTTCTTGGATATCACCCCCAAAGCACAGGCAACAAAAGCAAAAATATATGGGATTGCATCAAACTAAAAAGCTTCTGCACAGCAAAGGAAACAATATGGTGAAGAGACAACCTACAAGTTGTGAGAAAATATTTGCAGAGCATACATCTGATGAAAGGCTAATCTCCAAATATATAAGGGACTCAACTCAATATCAAGAAAACAAATAACCAAGTCAAAAAATGGGCAAGGTCCTAAATAGACATTTCTCAAAAAAAATACAAATGACTAACATAAAAAAAGTTTGTCATCCTAATTATCAGGGAAATGCAAATTAAAATGACAGTGAGATGCCACTTCATACCTGTTAGAATGGCTACTATCAAAATGATAAAAGATAACAAGTGTTGAAGAGGATACAGAGAAAAGGGAACCCTCGTACACTGTTGGTGGAAATGTAAATTAATACTATTATGAAAAATAGATAAAAGTTACTCAAAAAACTAAAACTAGAATTACTATATGATCCAGCAATCCCACTTCCTTGTATATATCCAAAGGAATTTAAGTCAATATGCTGAAGAGATATCTCCAGGCTCATGTTCATTGCAGCATTATTCACAATACCCAAATATGAAATCAACACAGGTGTCTATCAACTGACAAATGGATGAAGAAAATGTAGTGTATATATACAATGGAATACTACTCAGCCTTAATAGGAAGGAAAACCTGATATATGTGACAACATGAATTAACCCAGAAGATATCACGCTAAGTGAAATAAGCCAGGCACGAAAAGACAAATATCACATGATCTCACTGATATGTGGAATCTAAAAAAGTTGAATTCATAGAAGTAGAGAATGGAATGGTGATTATCAGAGGCTAGTAGTTGGGGGTAGACATGGAAAAGGTAGATGTTGATAAAAGGGTTCAAAGTTTCAGTTAGACAAAGTTTCAGTGAACTATTGCACAGAATGGTGACTGTAATAAATAACAAGGTATTGTATGTTTCAAAATGACTAACAGAGTAGATTTTAAATGTTTTCACCACAAAAAAGATATGTATGTCAATAAGATAGACCTAATCTTTCCACAATTTAAACATGTATCAAAACATTACATTGTACCCCATAAATAGATACAATTATTATTTGTCAATTTAAAATTTTTCACTAATTTATATTGTTATTGTTGCACCAACTCCTTTCCACCAGGCAGATTCTCATAAAGACTATTTTCTCTTTTACATGAAGCATTTCCTACACACCTCTTAATCACGGTAGCATTGACGTCATTCCACCAGATTCTATCTCCAGTGTTAAAATAATCAAGAACCCAGAAATCTCCACCAGGGGGCAACCAATGCGTATCAAAGTTTCCCACTTTCCTTTAGATTTACTTATGGGTAACTTATGGGAAAAAATACTTAAGTACTTCCCTTTTTAAAGAAAAAAATTATATGAATTCTACAAAATTATGGCAGAAAATTTAAGAAGAGCAGATGCTTCCCAACTCATTCTAAAGGGCCAGCATTACCCTGATTCTGAAACGAAAAAGCTTTACAAAATCCAAGATCCATTCCTGACTAAAGATAAAAGAAATTTTCAGCAAACTGTGAATACAGAAAACTTTCTCAGCCTGTTAAAGAGTACCTATGAAAAAAATTATAGCTAACATTATACTTAATGATGAAATATTTAATATATTTCATAACAGGAACAAGTCAAAGATGTCTACTCTAACTAATTCTACTCAGCATTCAACAAAATGAATATAGTGAATTCATACTAGAATTTTAAAAGCAAATGTCTTTATTCACTGACAACATAATCATCTATAAAGAAAATCCTACATAACCTATAAAAAACTGATGGAACTTATAAGTTTTGCAAGTTTACAGGATATAATGTCAAACAAAGATCTATTATGTGCCCATAAGCTAAGAATAAACAATTGTAAATTGAAATAAAAATGTCACTTAAAAGGGCATCAGAAATATAAAACTTAGAGATAAATATAAAGTACATATGCATAAAGTACCTGTTCACCAAAAACTACAAAACATTGCTGAAAGAAATTAAATGGGCATAATATAGATGTAGAGATGTGTTGAATTTATGACTCATTTTGAACAAGGAATATATTCATCATATATTCATCAGATAAGAATTATGTTACAGGTCTAATAACATTCAAATCAATACATAATGTCTCATAGTTCCTGAATCTAAAATATCAAAGAAAGAAACATAAAGCCATATCATGTTTAATGAGAAGGGCTTATTATATCATTTATGAGATCCTCTTGTAAATCACTAGCTGTTTGCATACTCTCTTTATTGCTGCCTTCATCTCCTTATTCCTGAATGTATAGACAACTGGATTCAGAAAAGGAGTGAGAACTGCATCAAAAATAGCCAGAAACTTGTCCATCTGTGAATTAGGGTGTGGCCGTGTATACACAAACATGGGTGGACCAAAGAACAAAAGGACCACTGTGCTGTGAGCTGAAAGAGTGGAAAGGGCCTTGGATGAACCACCTGAGGAATGTTTCCAAACAGTAAACAGGATGAAGACGTAGGAGATTAGAAGTATGAAGAAAGTACCCACACAGATAAACCCACTGTTAACAGTGACCATGAACTGCAATCTGTAGGTGTCGGTACAGGCTAGTCTGAGAAGCCGAGGAAGGTCACAGTAGAAGCTGTCCAACACATTAGGGCCACAGAAGGCTAAATTAACAAGAAATGCCAGTTGGAACAGGGAGTGACTGACACCAAGGGTCCAGGCAACAGCCAGAAATGAAAGGCACATTCTTGGGCTCATAATGGTCAGATAGTGGAGGGGCTTACATAGGGCCACATATCTGTCAAAGGCCATGGCTATGAGCAGCACCATCTCCACACCACCAACGACGTGGATGAAGAAGATTTGAGCGATGCAGCCTCCAAAGGAGATGACTTTGCGCTTTCTGAACAGGTCATAAATCATCTTGGGAGAAGTGACAGAGCAGGCTCCTAAGTCAATGAAGGAGAGACTGGCCAGTAGAAAGTACATGGGGGAGTGTAAGTGAGGGTCAGTGGTCACAGAAAACACAATGAGGATGTTTCCAGTAATGCTTGCCACATAGAGCACAGAGGAAAACACTAGGAGGAGGAGCTGGATCTCCCATGAATGAGTGAGTCCCAGAAACAAAAACTCAGATACCACTGAGTGATTCTCTCCATCCATTGGTCCAGCCAACTGGGCTGTGGCTAAAATTATGAGAACTAAGAAAATGGGGAGGAAATTGTGATTATGAAGATAATAATATGTACTAAAATCAATATTGCAATGTCACTATGAATAAATAGTATACAGTTATTCTGTTCCTCACATATTAAAAACAAAAAATCAACATAATATTATCACAACATGTGAGCTGCAACCTGATTTAAACCCATCATCAATACTTTCAGTGTAATGTCTGATCTAAAATTAACAGATTAGGTAAGAACAAGATTCCTGACTATCCATGAAATTCATCAGGTGTTTAAATGACCTGTGATATTAACTATTCCTCATTTCCAACATATTCCATTTGTACTTATACATATTCTTATAATTTCCTTCCCTTCCCAGTTTGCACCCACAATTCTCTGACAGAAAGTAGACATAAGAGGAAAACATGATTAACAGATGGATTATCACTGCAGTAAGAGGTGCCTGGGACGGACTTAGTTGAGGTAGGCTGTGGATTGAGAGAATATAGAGACTGGGGTATGTGAAATCGGAAAGCCCACAACTGTAGCAGACTAGAGTAAGTGGACTTTCACAAGAAATAGAATCACCACCATTATCTACCACATTTTCTCATGCTTACTGCTATTTAAGTGCCTCAGTTTCTATACAATCTTTCACAATTATGAAGCCCTAAATGGCTTCCCATCCTGCAATGATTTCATAAGGAGCCTATGCCACCTGTCATGTAAGGCTTTTTCCATGCCTAATAAATATGTTTTGGAGGGATTTCACCAGTGTTTCTGCTAAGATACATGCATAAAATGGACACAGAGGTTGTGAGAAATCTCTGCAGTTTCTCTTTGTCTATACACATGAAAGTATTGAAGACCAGCACTTGGATTAGTTAAGATAATGTTTTAATTCATCACTGTCTCCTCCTCCCCTTGGTACCAGCTTTTATGTTCATTGCATTCCCCACCCTTTTAAGTACTCAGTACCTCCTGCATGGTAACCTATTCTGATATTTGATATTATCATGCTTAATTTGACTGAATCCATTCGGATATTTTATCTTTAAGAAATTTGTAGTTTTATACTTTTAATTTATGATAAAATTAGATTAATATCAAACATTAACAAGTGACTTTTAGGAAGGTATATGAGCTTTCTTATTGACTTCAAACTATAAAGTACAAACTGTGACACTAGAAATTTAGTCCTTTAACACATATTGTATTTATATGTGAAGTGGAGGGTGAGCAGAAAACAGTGTTATATTTCTCTGTGTCCAGATGGATACTCACCTCAATCATTTTCCTATAGTAGAAAGTAGTTCCTGAAAACACTTAATAGAGATTATTTTAGAAGTTGCTGAGGTACAAATAAAACTGCTATGCTGACATCATACTTTTTTGCACCAACAACTCCAGTTCTTCTGACACAAAGGACCATCTTCCTAGTGCCATAATTTATCTTAGACCCCAAAACTCACAGAGGCACACATCATATCTCTAATACTTGCTCACCACCACTGGCATGAGTCTCTCTCTATCCTCTTCTACGTGAAGTGATTATACTGTCACCTCTGGAGCTAACTGTCCACAGTCTCAAGATGCACACTTTTTACAACCAGAAGCCTATGGACTGGGTGAGGGAGCAGAAACAGCCACAGGTACTGCCCATCAGGGTAATGTAAGTCAGCATGCAAACAACTGATCAGATGAACATGAATAGCAAGGTGCTGAGGCACTGGGAAGAGGGACCGGAAAACTCTATAATTGTTGAAAAAGACTCAAGCCCTTGGGAAGGGAAATGCCTATGGAATTATATAAAGACCATTTTATCCAAGTTGGTCATCATTCAGATGAAAACCATGAGGCCCAGAAAAGTAAACTGAGTTTCCAGAATTCACACAATTGATAGAATAGGAACCAGAATTCAGGCCTCTTGCTTCCTATTCCAGAAAGACAAATTGCAATAATAATCAAATAATATGAGCAATCATCCAGTAAAAATAATCTGGTAAAAACAGCAAAACTCAAAAGAGTGATTTTTCCTGGTTAAGACCAAAACTAACCATAGATTGCTATACATAGTATCTATTATAAATACTGAATTATATAGCAGCCTGACAATAAATACATAAAATGTGTACACAAAGATTATTGAACCTGTACAATACAGTAGTAAATAGTAACTTTATATTTGCAAAGTGACTGATCATTACTATCAGAATTTGTTTACCCATTCTTCATATTTTGTTGGTCATATAACCAGTTACTACAACTGCAAAAACAACCTAAGGTCATGTTTCTGTGAAGTCCATCCTTTTGGTCTTTAAATTTTATTATCCTCAAAGGTCAATTATGATCTCAATCTTTTCTTGTAATTTTACTGACAATTCTCCTTCACACTGATTAGTTCTTTCTCTAATTCCTGTAAATGGAAAGAACCAAAAAAAGTTGAAAAAACATGTATTGTACATATAACAAACAATCATATGTGGTATACAATATATATCAAATGAGTATTAAGATAAACATTCAAAGAGTTTTAAAGAAAAAAGTGTTATAGATATTGGAGGGCAGAAGATACAATTGCCATTAAGAACAGGTGGAGGAGGTTATGCCAAGGACATTGACCTGACCCTTTAGGAATTAGTGAAAATTGAATAGGAGAAGAATGAGGTACACAATGTGTGAAAAATACCTAAATTGATATAACAGGAGGAGACCTTTTCATATCAATTATCATTACTTCTGTGTATATAACCATATTAGATACCCACAAACAAATAGAAAGTGGATAGTTCTTGATTGACAAGTAAGACTAATAATCCCAGATCATAGTAAGGTCTTAACTTCAAGTCAATAATCTTTATTACTTATGGTTCATTCCTCTCCCTCATGTTTTCCAATAATTTTAAAATGCATAATTAAAACAATTCTCATTTAAAAACATAGTAGCCATGACTAATGATCTTCCAGTGGGAAGGTACTAAGACTTTACAACATGTTTCTTGCTGGGGATAAGACAGCCTACAGCCAGCATTCAACTCATTTTTCTAAAGTCTATGGATCAATTTGAAATACAGAAAAAGCAGAACAGAGATAAAGTTAAAAAAAGATTAAAAATATGGAAAGAATGGGAGAAAGGGGAAATTAGAAGATATGAACAATGATTTAAAAATAAAAGAGCCTCAAAGGAGAAGAGAAACTGCTAAGCAAGACTAAGGTAGGATGAAATACAGTAGTCTCTGTTTCTGAGAACACAGGTTAAAAAGAACATAAATAAAATAAATTTATCACCTTTAATACACTCATTCAAGGATGCTACTGAGTTTGACTTTGGGAATTTCTCACCTTTAATACACTCATCTGGGGATGCTACGGACTGTGACATTGGGTTGCATTTAACGGGGGAGAGAAAGGGCAGTTGCTTCTATTATCTGCCCTGTTGGACTCACAGAGTTTCTTTGAAAAGCACAGATGATAATAAATGGAAATATTGCCTTTTATACTATACAATAATATACACATGCAATTCACTGGAAAAAGTATACTTGTTACTATGATTTGAGGATACTACCATATACTAATCAAGAGAAACACATGTACAGAACAAAGAAGGCACATGAAATTTTTACTAGTGTGTGTTTTCCTTGTGTTCTACCACCCCAGGAGCAGCTTCTGCTACTGAAGGTCACAGTAGAGTTATTTCCAAAAGTTGTGGGTCTGCAGGGTGGACTTATCACATAGCTGTTTGCCAAAATTCAAAAGTCCAGAAACCATTTCCAAATTTTCACCTCTTTTATCTTCAAATCCTAAAACTATGAAAATTCACAAACTTAGCTCCATACATTATGGTAGAAAGGTTAATAATTTGGACTTTGAGGTTGACCAGGCCTGATTTTTGAATAAATTCACAAACTTACCTCCATACATTATGGTAGAAAGGTCAATAATCTGGACTTTGAGGTCGACCAGGCCTGATTTTTGGATCCAGGCTGCAACACTCACTTGCTGTGTTAACGTAACAAAGTTCCTAGACCATGCTGAGCTTCAGTTTACTTGTTATTGAATTAGGGATATAGCGTTCGAAGGAAGAAGTTCTAGTATTTGATTGCACAGCAGAGAAATTATAGTTATTGAACTGGGGATATGTAGATAGACATAATAAATTTTAGTATTCAATTGTACAATGGAGAAATCATAGGGAACAATAATTTATTATATATTCTAAAATAGCTAG
Organism: Homo sapiens; assembly: GCF_000001405.40. Classification (NCBI taxonomy): domain Eukaryota; kingdom Metazoa; phylum Chordata; class Mammalia; order Primates; family Hominidae; genus Homo; species Homo sapiens. The sequence continues at coordinate 455,921 of NC_000001.11, forward strand.
CAGAGAAAAATTATAATGTTCCCAACACAAAGAAAAGATAAATATTCGAGGTGATGAATATCCAAATTACTCTGATTTGATCATTACACATTGTATACATGTATCAAAAATATCACATGTACCCCAAAACATGTACAACTATGATACATCAATAAAAAACAACAAAAAAACCAAAAGAATAGAAATCAAAAATAAATACATAAATACATAAAATAGGGATAATAATACCTCCCTTGCTTGCTTGCTCCCTTGCTCCATTTGTAAGAAATAAGTGATATAATATAGGTAAAAATACTTAACCTCATACCTACCACATAGTATAGCACAATAAACGTTATTTATTATAATCTGAGGCCTACCTACATAAGTGACTTTCAAGTATAGAAAATTATTTCTCAAATTTTAAATACTCCCTGATTCTCAGGTATGGTAATTAGACCTGGCTTTAGGTAAAGCTCTCATGTCTACACTTGGATTTAATCACTTAAGTATATTTCCCAGCACCCCCCCCAAAAAAAAAATTGCTCCTAGGTGGACACACTAATCAAAGACTTCCTGAGAAATGCAGGAAGAAGTTTTGTCCTCTGACCACGCTACGCCCTTTCCTTGATGGTAAGCCCCATAATCTAAAGCCATAAGTTTCAATTCCTCACATAAAAAGAAAAAAAATGTCTTTTATGACCACTTCAGATAACACTGGATATTTCCCTTGTCATTAGGAATGAGAAATGGGAGGAAGGTAAACTTGTAGACAGGAGAATTGGTAGATGCTTGAAAGGATTTCTGAAAACTGTGCCTATCCAGGTGTACAAATGTGTTGACCAGCCAAGGCAAAGCAGTCAAACCATACAATACCTTATCCTCAGGAAAATGGACTTTTCTCCCAAATTGCCTTTTTCATGAAAAATATAAAATTCTCCAGTTTCAACCTCATGTTAAATTTCACATGTGAAGAAAACAGTCATGCATATCAGAAAATTAAATGGCGAGTCAAGACCAAATTCCTAGTCACAGTTATGTTCTGTTTCCAGTATTACCTTCTCACTTATTCATTTTGTTAAAGTGGAGCCAAAATAGAAGTGGGTGTCACACATCAAGAAAGACTGAAGTCGTACAAAGCCGATCCTTATCCAACGTGCATTAAAATATGCATCAGGCATGTGTGATGCATATAGTAGAAGTGGAACAAATCAGGCCATGTGCAGTGGCTCACGCCTGTCAGCCCAGCACTTTGGGAGGTCAAAGCAAGCAAATCGCTTGAGATCAGCAGTTTAAGAAGTGTAACAAATCCTCTACAATATAAGTAGAGTGAAAAGAGATAGCTACAGTGATGAGGGAAGGCACTATAGTGATGTGGCATTTGAGTATAGCCATAAAAGAGGATAAATATTACAATACATGAATATAGGGTCTAAAGAAGTCTTTTCAAGTAGATTGTAAAATATTTCAAAAATGGTAAGTTTGGTGTATGTTGAAGCATACAGATTGTCTACATCCTAAAAATCATTTTGGTGAAGAAAGGAAAATAAGAAAGGTAGTCAATATTCATTTGTTGCCTATCATTAGAAACTTCTCAAAGGTATATGAGAATTATTAAATAAATTTAGGGAGCCAGTGAAGGTATGGGTCCCGGGAATTGAGGATGAAGCCAGTAATTAGGGAAGATGCCCCATCTATAAGTGCGATGTATCAAATGGAGGAAAAGAAAAACGGAGGGAAGGAGTTCCCTTAAGAGAAGATTGAAATAGAGCAGACTTGGGGGGCTACACAGAGGAACTGGGACTACACAGTTCCAGCTTTAAGGCTATAGAAACAGAAATAGAAATACTGGTAAGTAAAAACCCAAAGGATTGGTGACTTATCACAGCTGGAGTGAATACGAAGGAGCATGAACTCAAAGAAAATATCAAGATTTAAGCAAGAATAAATAGGACAATGGTAGGTCCATTTTTAGAAATTAGAAAGTTGAACATAAAATATGTCAGGGTGGAGAAAATAATCACGTGTATTTTAAGCAAATAAGAGTATTAGATATTGAGATGCTCAGGTGAAAACATATGACAGGATATATGGGGGAAAAGTACAAATTCAACATGTAATTGTATAGTAATCCATATAAAAATAATAGACGGATGTGTAAGAGTGCATAAGGTCCCTGAAGGAAATAATACACAGGAAAAAAAGATTAAAAAGCAAAGACCCAACTATAGAAACTATCCACATTGATTATGTAAAGTAGGAAAAGGAATCAATAAACTAGACAGAACATCACAGAGGTAGGAGGACAAGTGCTGGCCTAGAGGAGCCAACACAGAAGCAGGTATCAAGAATAAAGGAGGAGAAGAGAGAACAAAGAGAGAGAGAAGAGAACTTCTGTGGCAGAAGATCAAGTGGGATGGTAGAATAAAGGAGAAGAAATACAAGAAAATTGAAATAAAATTTACAGAAATGTTCTACATTGTAAGTGGGCAGTTTTGACCTGGCACATTGTTGGCACACATTATAAATGTCAAATGTATTAATGAATGAATGAATGGATAATATAATGAATGTGATGGAGTTGTCAAAAGCTGAATTAATTAAAAGTCCCCACGAGAGGTTAGATGACAAAATTTTCAGAAACTTTCCATGCCACTCTGTTGTGACATCAACAGTGCTGGACCCTTGAAATCAAACCAAAAGGATTCCACCATGAGAATGAAAAGGGCTGAGAAGGGGAATGCTGGGTGACACAGAAGGTGACAAAGGGCGAAAGGTTTCTAGGCATTTGATAGACTGATGGACGTCCGCGCTGACCATAAGGCACAGGCCACACAGGAAGGAAAATGAGACCCAACGCGAAGAAAAGTAGGGCTAAACAGTCGGGAAAATGTGGGAAGAAGGATGAATAGTCATACGATCAACTCAGATTCCTCCCTGACATTCTTCTACAGCTTTATTCTCGTCCTTTGGGAGCCGAGATGTTCATTTTCCTACATTCTTAGCTGCCTACACACGGCGACTTTTCTCCACGGTGCCTGATCCCTGCTGCATCCTCCTTCTCTAGTGGCAACAGCAAATGGCCACACAGAAGGCAGACATTGCACCCAACTGAGGAGAATGTAATTCACTCATTGCCAGTCACAGACCTTGGCTCACCGATTTACTAAGTATAGATTTTATTTCTATCCCTCACCTACCTGTTTTGCCAAGGGAACTAAGAAAAGAGCATCATCAAAAATTCAGATAGGTATAGTTCTCACAAGATGAACCAGATCCAGTACGGCATCACTGCAGACATACACACAGAGCTGCATAAAACAGGAAGAGAGCTGCTAATCACAGCCCCAGAGGGTAGTGGCCAAAGTGATGCCTTGGAGATCCGAGAATGCCAGACTGAGATCACACGGCCTGGGGAATTACCGCCTATGGTCATTTTGGTTTTCCCGGGATAGCCATGTTAATTGGGTGAAATAAAGCATATTTGATTTTCTTATGACAAAAAAGGGCTTTTGCCATTGTCTACAGATGATACTTTAAATCTTTATTTTATGACTAAAGGTGAATTCCAGAGCAACATTAAATGTTGTCCCTTTAAATTTTTAATCATTTACATAACGATTACCATAATATTCAATTTAAACATAAAATGTAATTGAAAGTATGAGATTAATATGTGGACATGAAATCATATAATGTTCCATGGAAAAAATAGAATGTATAAGGCAAAGAGGTTTAAAGTAACATCAAAACTAATGCTCACTATACAAATTCTATGAAATCCTCATAATTACACTGTGAAGCAGGTGTTGTTAGAGCCACATAATCTCAAACAAATTATTTATTATCTAAAATTACATAGATATTAAAAGGTTAGGCCATATATGAATTTAGGATTCTCTCAAAAATTTTTTCTCTTTCTCCTACATCAAACTTCCCTAAATTATAGAAAAGTCACAATGTTACCAAACATATTCACAAAACACATATAATCTTGAATCCAAATTTCAGTTACAGCAGAAAAAATAAAACTCTAGATCAATCTCAATCGTGTAAATAAATTCAGATTTCCAATCTAAGAGTCTCAATTTGACATACTTCTTTCTCTCTCTTCTTTCAAACCAGGAGAAATATAAATATGAGCCACAACCTTACAAAAGCTAGAAAATATTTACAATTCCACACAACAACACATGAAGAAAACCTTCTGGACATCAAAAGTTTAAACCAGTCAAGACTGAACACCAAGATAAAGTGCATGCCTCTGAAGAGCTTGAGCTAGTCAAGAAGCCCAGAAATCCCTAAAAGAGGTGTGTATACTGAGGACTGAGGATCAAAACCTGTGATCTTTACTTGGAACAGAAATATTGCAGCATGTGAACCCTCCACAGAGTGACAGAGGGAAAGGAGTTTAAAGGGAAACATGCAAATGTATCACCTTTGGAATAATTAGGACACGTGTGTGGTGTAATGAAAGAAGGCAAAAAGATGGGGAAGAAGCCAGACAGATGGCAATTTTCATTCTATTATGAAAAGAAAAGGATAAGTCACAAGTCACATGATGAAATTAACAACTATGAATCCACTCTAAGCCATAGTCAATCCTATAGCCTAGGAGTCATTCTAACAGATGAGAGTGTTTTGGAGACAAGATTCCAAAACTCGTCTGCCTTCCATCATACTTACTACCCCCAGCTCCTCCTCCACAATATCCTTTCACAAGTATCTAGAATATTCAAAGACTAATAATATTATATAATTATTTATAATAATTGTATTACAAAAATAAAACTTGATGACCTTTATAAAAATACTAGAAGAAAAAGGGAAAATTACATAAGGTACAGAACATACAAATTATACCATGAAGCAGTAAAAAACAGGATCAAATTTTCTATGTTTTTTAAAAATATGCCTTCTCTAAAATGTTTTCTCTCTGAAATGATATTTAGAAGACATAATTGAAAATAAATACAAAATAAAGTGATAAAAAATAAACTGGCAAAATTCAGGATGTAATGAGTAAAGACAACCATGAAAGAAATGAAGATCAATAAAAGCAGGAAAAAAAGTGGGAAGTGGAGAGAATAATGCTGCTAAAAACACAGATAAGAATATAAATGACAGGCTTAAATATATCCTGAGCAAAACGAAATAGAAAACACAAGAAGGTGAAATGTAACATTAAAGTCAGGTCCAACAAATGAGAAATTAGTGTGAAAGAGCTCACAATATCTGGTTAAAAAATTCAAAGATAAAAGAAAACTTTTCTGAAATGAAGAAAACATTGAATCTAATGGTTAAAGGGCTTATCTTTATCCAGAAAAAATGTGTTATAGTATGACCACATCAAGGCAGATGCAACTGAATTTACCGGACTTCACAAACACAAAATAAACAACCCACAAAAAAAAAAAAAAATAGAGTCCCCATGAGGCTTTAATGAAGACAACTATTAGAGGCCAGGCGCAGGGGCTAACACCTACAGTCCCAACACTTTGAAAGGCCAAGGCAGGAGAATCACTTGAGCCCAGGAGTTCAAGATAAGACCAGCCTGGGCAACATAGCAAGACCCCATCTCTATCAGAAAAACTTAAAAAAGAAAACTATCCACTAAAAATGAATAGAGATAACATGATACAAGTGAGCATTCTGAAGCCTAATATCAAAATGTTCTGGGGTTTGCGGTTAAAGAACAGAATGCAAATGTTACAAACCATAACTGTATAAAGACTAATTATATTCATAACAAAAATAAGAAGAGAAAGATAGTAGAAATATATTCTGGTCCATTCAACTTTCACAGTGGGAGAGAATCAACAAATTATGTTATGGGTGATTAAATATTATTTTAAAAGATAAAGGTCATTATTAGAAAAATTAAAAATAACAAAATCAAATAAAGTTGGATGACGAAGGTGGGAGAGGAAAGTGGGTTTAAGGGGTAAAGTGGAACTATATTAAAAGAGTCAATGGAGAGCACCCTTGGAAATAACACAAAAATTAAAGAACTAAATATAATTTATACAGCACATAACTAAACTATAAATCTTCAAATTAAAAGAAAATAGGTACATACAAAATATCACATAGAGAGAAATATTAATACCATGAAAATATTAAAATAAAAGCATAAAATTAATTCATTTATTTACCCTATTAGTATTTTTTGAACACCTATGTGCCAGGTATTGTGCTGAATGCCAGTAAGATATAGTTCCTGCATCTTGGAGTTTTCGTGGAGGAGACAGAGATTAATCAAACAATCACACAAATGTAAAATTGCAACCATAAAAATTACTCTGAAATACAATGAAAATTACTATAAGAGAGGGATTTGATGTGAGTCAGTTTCCCCTAAGAAAGCAACACTGAAGCTGAGATCTAAAGGGTAAACAGCAGTTAACTGAGTGGAGAACAAAGGTTTTCCTGCAGGGGGAACAATCTGCTCCCCGAGGCCAGAGTGGGGCCTTGGGAGTTGTGCCTGAAACCACATTGTGAGGAAGTGAGGGGAAGCATTGTGCAGATAATGCTGAAATAAGTAGTGGAAGATGCTTCCTAAGAGAATGAGAAATCCAAGACTACTAAGCAGAAGAATGATTTGACCAGATTTCACATTTGTAAATATCACTATGGTTACAATGTATAGAATGGATTTTAAGGAATTCAAATTGGATACAGGTGAGTCAATTAGAAAGCAACATGCTTGCCAAGGCAAGAAATTTGATTACTTAAACTAGATATGGGAGTTTTGGAAATAAGTAGATAAATTTGTCATATATTTGAGATAATAAATCACCATGACTTGATGGTAGACTTAGTTGGAGATGCCCTCACTAATGCACCATCTAATGCTTCAAGTCTAATAATTATTCAATTCCTCCAGAGCCACCAATCCAACGGTTCTACCATATTTATGCTGTCATTCACTTTACTGATATCCTTCTTACCTTACCTCTTTTCCCACTTTATATTCCATGATCAATACCTTGCTTCCTCGTAATGATTGTACTCACTCTTCCAAACAACAATCCTGATAAATCCTACTCTCTGCCTTCTACATCTTGATACCACACAGCTATATGTGGCTAGATAAAACAATCACACTGACAATCATCCTATACTTTCTGAATCCATCACTCTTCTACTTTTTCAGATCTTTTCTTTCTCCCTCATCCTTACCATGTAATGAACTCATTTTGCATGTCAAGGGCTAAAAGTTGAATATTTTAAAAGTTCTCATTTTCCCACTACTATATAAACCAACAAATATCTTTAGTCTGCATTCACAAATAACATAACAAATGAGCTCTTCATATTTCTATCTGTGGTGAATTAAGATGACTAGAAATTTTGTGGCACCATCCCGTTGAAAACGTGGGGACATATTCTTTCTCCTTGAACCTGGGTGGGCTCTTTGACTGCTTTGACCAATAAAATACAGTGAAAGTAAAACTTCCAGTTTTGATGTCCAGATGTTAAAAGCCTTGAAGCTTCCATTTCTACATCTTGGAACCAACGTGTGTGGGTGCTGAGTCAGTATCGAAGAATTCTGCTTATTCTGCTTGCATTAGTCCATTTTCATGCTGCTGATAAAGACATATCCAAGACCGGGTAATTTATGAATAAAAAGAGTTTCATGGAATCACAGTTCCATGTGGATGGGGAGGCCTCACAATCATGGCAGAAGGTGAAAAGTATGCATTACATGGGAGCAGACAAGAGACAATGAGAGCTGAGTGAAAGGGGAAGCCCCTTGTAAAGTCATCAGCTCTCATGAGACTTATTCACGACCATAAGAACAGTATGGGGGAGCCACCCCATCATTCAATTATCTCTCACCAGGTCCCTCCACAACACATGGGAATTATGGGAGCTACAATTCAAGATGAGATTTGGGAAAGGGGACAGCCAAACCACCTCATTCTGCCTCTGGCACCTCCCAAATCTCATGTCCTCACATTTCAAAACCAATCATGCCTTCCCAATAGTCCCCAAAAGTCTTAACTCACTTCAGCATTAACTCAAAAGTTGGCAGTCCAAAGTCTCACCTGAGACAGGGCAAGTCTCTTCCACATATAAACCTGTAAAATCAAAAGCAATTTAGTTATTTTCTAGATAAGATAGGAGTACAGGCATTGGGTAAATGCAGCCATTCCAAATGGTAAAATTTACCCAAAACAAAGGGACTAAAGGCTCCAAGCAAGTCCGAAATCCAGTGGGACAGTCAAATCTTAAAGCTCCAAAATGATCTCCTTTGACTCTATGTCTCACATCCAGGTCATACTCATGCAAGTGGTGGGTTCCCATGGTCTCAGGCAGCTCCACCCCTGTGGTTTTGCAGGGGAGAGCCTTCCTCCCGGTTGCTTTCACAGGCTGGCATTGTATGCAGCTTTTCCAGGCACACAGTGCAAGCTGTCGGTGGATCTACCATTCCGGGGTCTGGAGGACAGCAGCCCTCTTCTCATAGCTCCACTAGGCAGTACCCTAGTGGGGACTCTGTGTTGGGGGCTTCAACCCCACATTTCCATTCCCCACTGCCTTAGCAGAGGTTCTCCATGAAGACCTCACCCCTGCAGCAAACTTCTGTCTGGAGATCCAGGCATTTCCATACATTCTCTGAAATCTAGATGGAGGTTCCCATACCTCGATTCTGGACTTCTGTGAATCCACAGGCTCAACACCACATGGAAGCTGCCAAAGCTTGAGGCTTGCACCCTCTGAAGCCATGGCCTGAGCTGTACCTTGACCCCTTTTAGCTGTGGCTGGAGCAGCTGGGACACAGAGCACCAAGTCCCTAGGCTGTACACAGGCAAACAGCAGAGGGGCCCTGGGCCCAGCCTATGAAACCATTTTTTCCTCCTAGGCCTCTGGGTGTGTGATGGAAGGGGCTGCCACAAAGATCTCTGACATGGCCTGAAGACTTAGCGATTAACATTTGGCTCCTTGTTACTTATGCAAATTTCTGCAGCCAGCTTGAATTTCTCCTCAGAAAATGGATTTTTCTTTTCTATCACAGTGTCATGCTACAAATTTTCTGAACGTTTATGCTCTGTTTTCCTGTTAAAACTGAGTGCTTTTAACACACCCAAGTCACTCTTGAATGATTTGCTGCTTAGAAATTTCTTCTGCCAGATACCCTAACTCATCTCCCTCAAGTTCAAAGTTCCACAAATCTCTAGGGCAGGGACAAAATGCTGCCAGTCTCTCTCGATAGCAAGAGACACCTTTACTCCAGTTCCCATTGAGTTCCTCATCTCCATCTGAGACCATCTCAGCCTGGATTTCATTGTCTATATCATTATTTGACATTTTAGTCAAAGCCATTCAACAAGTCTCTAGGAAGTTCCAAACTTTCCCACATTTTCCTGTTGTTTTCTGAGCCCTCCAAACTGTTTCAACCCCTGCCTGTTACCCAGTTCCAAAGTCGCTTCCACATTTTTGGGTTATCTTTACAACAGCACCCCACTCTACCAGTACCAATGTACTGTATTAGTCTGTTTTCATGCTGCTGATAAAGACATACCTGAGACTGAGTGATTTATGAAGAAAAAGACACTTAATGGACTCACATTTCCAGGTGGATGGGGAGGCCTCACAATCATGGTGGAAGGCAAAAGGCACATCTCTACATGATGGCAGACAAGACAGAATGAGAGCTGAGTGAAAGGGGAACCCCCTTATAAAATCATCAGCTCTTGTGAGACTTATTCAAGACCACGAGAACAGTATGGGGGAAATACTCCTGTGATTCAGTTATCTCCCGTTGGATCCCTCCCACAAGACACGGAAATTATGGGAGCTACAATTCAAGATGAGATTTGGGTGGGGACACAGCCAAACCATATTGCTGCTGAATAGATCATGTAGACAGGCTCTCAAACTACACGGAGAGCAAGAGAGGCCCACCTTACCACAACATTTCATCCAATCCACTAATAAAACAGGCACATCACTGAAGCCACCTTCAACTCTCCAGACTACCCAGCTGCCAGCTGAATACCACAGATGGCTACAGTTAATACCACACGGAGCAGAATCATGTAGCTAAGCCCTGCTTGCACTAATACAAGTCCACAATTTTTTTTAAGTTTGTTGTTTTAAGCTGCGAAGTTTTGAGGTGGTTTGTGGTACGTGGAATAAGATGTCACTCTAATATAATATAAACTTAAACTATGTGGCATTGGCTTTGGAATCAGACAATGGATAGAAGCCAGAAGGATTTCACAAAGACTGTTAGTGAAAAGTGAACAGACTTCAAGGAAAATGATAGCAAAACCTGTAAAAGCATTCTGGGAACTGACAGTAAACACTGAATGGTCCTTAAGGAGACTGAAAACTTGAAAGAGCTTAAGAAGTCTACTGGAAAGGGCTTTAAGGATAATGAGAAAAAATCATCAGTGGAGGCTGAGGAAAAGGCACCAAAGTCATATTCTGATGGGAGAGTTAGAAAACGCTTGCCTGGAATGATATAAAAAATAGGAAAAATACCGAAAAAGTTTGTGGATCTGGCTGGGGAGATTTTTGGTGTCAACTAAAGAAAAAAATTAAGCTTTTAAGAAATTAAAGTTAGATTTATTTAGGGGTCTGAGAACAAGAGACTGAGGATTACAGCCTAGGAGAAGTCTTTCAGAGAGGTTCTGTCAGACTGCTCTGGTGAAGGTCTTTAGCCCACAGTTTATATGCAGGCTGTACATATACACCATGGAATACTATGCCGCCATTAAAAAATGATATCATGTCTTTTGCTGGAATGTGGATGGACCTTCTATTATCCTTAGCAAACTAATGCAGGAACAGAAAACCAAATACAGCATACTCTCAGTTATAAGTGGGAGCTAAATGATGAGAACTAATGAACACAAAGAATAAAACAGACACTGGGGTCTACTTGAGGGTGGAGGGTGAGAAAAGGAAGAGAAGCAGAAAAGATAACTATTGGGTACTAGGTTTAATACCTGGATGATGAAATAATCTGTACAATAAACCCCTGTGACACCAGTCTACCTATGTAACAAATGCCCCTAAACTTAAAATAAAAGTTAAAAAAAAAAGAAAATTAAAATCTTCTTATCATCTACCTGGTAATATGAAAAACACAAATCTTTCATTCATTCCTTTCAACTGATGAGGAAAATGAGGCATCGGGAGTTAGTAAAAGTCCACATTGAGATATGAGACCCACCACTGGCTGGACGCAGTGGCTCACACCTGTAATCCCAGCACTTTGGGAGGCCGATGCTGGTGGATCACCTAAGGTCAGGAGTTCGGGACCAGGCTGGCCAACATGGTGAAACCCCCATCTCTACTAAAAATACAAAAATTAGCTGGGTGTGGTGGCAGGCACCTGTAATACCAGCTACTAGGGAGGCTGAGGCAGGAGAATCGCTTGAACCCAGGAGGTGGAGTTTACAGTGAGCCAAAATCACGCCATTGCACTCCAGCCTGGGCAACAAGAGCAAGACTCTGTCGGGGAAAAAAAAAAAAAAAAAACCACCACCATCATTTTGCAAGTGTTACCACTATTGTGTGTTAATATTGTAGAAGTATTCCTAATTATGATTTCTTTGTATTCCTAATTGTAATAGCTTTGTATTTGAAAAATTATTGATTCATACTCTATATGTTATTATTTTGTATGTGATGACAACAGAATATATTATCATGCTCCTTTTGTGAATCTCATTCATAATATAAAGTATAAATTTGTGATTTTGCTTTAATTTGAAATATTAACTTCAAATATGTTATCACAATTTGATACAAACTATTGACAGTAAATCTGTGGATTAAGTAATGTCTTAGTAGGTATTGGGAAAATTTGAAACTAGTAACATGGAGGACTATTGTCATTGTTTATTTCAAAGCCAGTTAAAATTCTGCAAAGCAGTGTACATAAAAATAATTTCAAGAAATTTATAAAATACCGAGATTATGGTGTATAAACAACTTTAGATTCTTTGTTTAAGAAATTCTGCCAGTTTGTAATATATGCTTCATTCAAAGTAGCTAAGGGCTGTACCTGGCTAATAGTAGGCACCTAATATTTGTTGAAAAGGAATACTGAGTAGCTGGGACCTCCTGAGTAGCTGGGACCACACACATTTAACCTGTATTTATAAAATTACTGTTTAGAGAATAACATTTGATGGAATCATGCTTTTACTTTCTGCTTACGACTCAATTGTTTGTACTGACATTAACATCCCAAATCCTTAGCATGGCCTACAAGGCCCTGAGCAATGTGGCACCTGCTGAAGCCTGCTGCCTCATTTAATAACTCTTTGTCTCTTTCCCAGATCCAGCCACTCTAACATTTTTTAGCTCCTGGACCAAGACAAGCTCTTCCCAGAACCTGACCTTTGTACCTGTTCTTTATTCCTGGAGTATTTTTCCCCTGACAAATTACTTATCGTCTATCATAATTCAGGTTAAATGGCACTAACTCAGGGAAGGCTTCCCTAACTGCCTCCCTTCTCCAACCAAATTAGGAACAATTATATGGCCACATAGTATCGAATCAAGTTTATAATTTTAAAATAATTGGGAGATTTTGTTGTTTAACACTTGTTTTCACTATAAGACTGTAATTACATGCAAGTAAGAACCATGCCTGTTTGTTCACTCCTGCCACAGTCAGAATAGTGCCTGGAATATGCAGTAAGGGCTGAACAAGCACTAAATAAATGAACAAGTGAATAAATGGATATTGTCTCATTTTTAGAACAGAGTACTGAATGGATCATGAACACTATCTGGTATGTCACGTAGGTAATTTACAAGGGCTACAATTTCAGCTCAGATTTACCTTTTCCTGGATACAGGTCTTGATAGGTCTCTTGATGTCATTTCACTTCAGATTCTTCTTTAGAAAACTTGGACAATAGCATTTGCTGTCTTGTCCAAATTGTTACTAAGAATCAAGAGAGATATCTGACATGAAATGACATTGGAAAACATTAAACACGATTGAAATAATGCTAGCCAATATGGTTATTATTAGAAACCAATTACATTTTCAACTTAAAAATAGTAATACTTATTGCAGACTCAAATGTGCTTATTCTAAAACAAGTAAATGTTTGCCTATGGTCTGAGATTCTAATCCACGGAGTTCATTCTAATCCACATTCAACACTATCATGTACCAGTGGGCCTCATAACCCACCTAGCCCTGTGATTTTTCAGGTTCACTTTTCTAAACTTGTGAATTAAATATTTATTTTCTTAGTTCAGAAGAGGAAAAAAACTCTTGTAATTGTTGCCCATTTCAGGAGAAATCTTGCATATGAAAACAAGAGATAAATATACACAACTGAGGGCTGTGGTTTAAACAAAATCTTGAGAATGTTTTTTGACCTTATACATTTGTGCTTTAGTATAACAAAATGATATAGACAAAGGTAACTTTTAATAGAACCAGTCACTAAATTAAAAAAATGACAAATTCTTCTGCTTAGCTAAGCAACAGAGAAGGTAAAATACTAATTCAATTCATCAATTTAAGCAATACTCATTAAGAGCCAAGTATGTGCTTACTGAATAAGCTGCTAAGGTTTGGTGGTTACAGAGTGTGCGGTGAAATGATGTCTACATCACAGTCCAACATTCACAGAGTTTAAAAGCCTACCAAGAATCAAGACAGACACAAATACCTAACATAGACATTTGTATATGATAAGAGAGCCAGAGTACAATTTAGGAGAAGAAATTGTATGGAAGGAAGGTTCATTTCCATTAGACCAGAAAAGACAGCACATTTGAAGGCCTGAATAAGAAATATTCTGGATAAGATATTGTGGCTGCTACCAGAATGGCTCTTGATGATCTCTACCTCTTGGTATTTATACCCTTATATAATCTCTTTCCTATCATGTAAGCTGGTCCCAGGTACTTGTTTCTATTGAATAGAATAGAACAAAAGAAATGAGATGCCACTTCTGAGATTAGATTATAAGATACTGTGAATTTCTTCTTGTGCCCTCTCCCTCTCTCTCTTTCTCTTGCCCTCTCATTTGAATGAAGCCAACTGGCATGCTGTCAGTGGCCCAGTGTAAGTCCTGTTACAAGAAATTGATGATTACCTGTAGCCAACCCTAAGTGAAGAACTGAGGTCCTCAGTCCTACAAATGGAGAGAAACTGAATCTAGCTAAGAACCATGTGAGTGAGCTGGGAAGAAGATCCACCCTCAGTTGAAATTTAAGATGACATATTGAGCAGACATACTGAGACACACTGAAAGTAAGAGAGCAGGAGGAAACAAAACCAGGGTCATACAAAGAACACAACTGATTTTGAGATTCTCACATAAGTATTACACCTTCAGTGAGCACGTGTACTAGAAATTTAAAAAATAAATAAAATAAACCTTCAAAGTGAGCTAGCAAATAAATTTCCCTATGGTCTCAGCTCTGAGTGGAGAGAGAAAATGTTCCCTGTGGAGTTTATAGCCAGAATCCAGCTCTCAAACAGGTTTCAGCCTGAACTCACACAATCTGTGTGGCTTCCAAATTTGCAAGCTGAGAATTTAATTCAAAGTGGTCTCAGGTTGATAGCAGTCCAAAATGCTAGGTAGGAAAAAAAATCCTCTCTGGACAAATAAATCATCAAAGCAAGCTCATAAGAGCAGGTTTCAAAGGTCATGAGCTTCTAACACACACACAAAAATCACACACACAAAATGGGGGTAGCAGCAACATGGGTAGCGTATTCAAACTTGAAAAGACTTTAAATATTTGTATTATTAGATGTAGATTATGAAACACATATTTTAATGTGGTTAATTTTTTTAAGGAATCAAAACTATGAGTAAAGACCAAGAAAATTGTGCTGGATGGCCACTTCCACCATGGCTCCCCTCCTATTTAAGTCTGGGTACTGTGTCACCCGAAGTCTTCAGGCACATTGTTCCAGGTCTGGGTTTGCCTATGAAAGAAACTCATGAGAGCTGGAAATGAGGAGTGAAGAGGAGGTCTTCAAATAAAGCAGGCTTAAGGATTAGACATAGCAGGTTTGACAGATGTGATGGCTCGCAGAATTCTTTATGAGCTCCCACTGTCCATCTGGATAAGATTTACAGACCTTTCAGAAATTCCTATAAGCTTGGGTTCTGTGCCCACACTCTAGACTGTCAGGCTAAGATCTCTGATATAAAACAGACCTCTTCTGATTTTGTCTAGCTGCTTTTCTAATATCTATTCACCAAGCTCTTCCAATAATAGCATAAGGCCCTAATTAATATTAAACTTTTATCATTATAATACATAGGATGTCTTCTGTTTTCCTGATCAAATTCTGACTACTATTAAAATATAAAGAATTGTCCAGAAATATATAAAAAAAGAATCACACATTGATCTTCTTTAAATGAAAATATAACAATTGTATGGACTAGGATGATTACAGTTGTTCAGTTCTGACTGTTATTTGAAGAAAAAAGCAATAAGAAGCCTCAGCAACTTAACAGAAGGAGCTGCCATTTACTAGGAGAAAAGATTGTGGATGAGAGTGTAGCAAAGGTCAGAATTCTGTGAAGCTTGAGATGTTTATTATAATGAATTATCTTTTATACTCACTACAATTTCCTAACAATTTTGGGGTTTATATTTTTGAAAGAGATATACCTTTAATTTTCTTTCTTTGTACTATTGTTAGGTAACTTTGATGTGCAGATTATACTACAGTGAAAGTTGCCAATGACAAGGCAAAGTCACTTACATCAGACCCAAAGCAAAGTGGAGCCGGGTCATGAAAAAGGGGATCTTGTGTGTCTGTCCACGATAAGCACTATCACAAGGACTTTCTATAAACTCACAAGAAATTTCTGCCCACCCAGCACACTCTGTTTGTCCAGCTCATCCTGTAGGTGTTTTATAATAGGACCTATCATAAAAAATTCCTCAAGACTGCAGCATTTCAGATAAGCCACCCTCACAAGAACACTTGCCTAGCAATGGCTGTTTCTGCCAGTAAGTTAACACCAGCTCCTGCATCAGACCCTGTGACCAATGATGTTTGTTTCAAAACAGCTTGCATGGACTTCTTTTTGTCTTTACATATTTTCCTTACCTCAACCTCTTGGGATGCACCTATGATTGATCATAGCACAAATATCTCAGATTATAATCCTTGTTTATTTCCAAATAAATTTATTTCTTTGGAGATCCACTTTTTCTGTTATTATACATTGACATTGTTATTATGAAATTGGTTGGGTGATGTGTCTTATTTTCTTGTCTCCAGAAGAATTTCTGTAACAGTGCAATTAAACGTTCTTTGCATGTTTGCTAGAACTCACCTGTAAAATTGTCTGAGCAACCAAAGCCTGGTTTTTGTGTTTAGTTTTTCTTTTGTGATTGGGGAGGGGGGTTTATCGTACTGATTCAAGGTGTGAAGGTAACATCATTTTGATTTTATACATCTTCTTCAGTCCATTTAAGCATGTTACATAGCGTTGTTTGTTCTTTTCATGATATTCTTTACAGTAGTCTCCTAAATGTTCCCTCTGCTTCTGCCATGAGCCCCTACAATCTATTTCAACTCAGAAGCTATAGAGTTTGTTTAAAACATGTAACATATTATGCCACCTTTCTTACTGTAAAACATCCCATGGTTTCTCATAGTATTTATAGTAAAAGTGAAATTTTTATGATGGCTTGAGAAACTTTTCCCATTAGATGCCCAAGTGCTGGTCTGGTCTGATCTTCTCATCTTCCCTTGGGTGATTCTGTGGCAGTCACACTAGCCTCCTTGCTGCTCCACAAAAACTCCAGCATGATCCTACTTCAGGATATTTGCCATTGTTACTGCATCTGCCTGGAACCTTTTCTCCCATATAAACATAGAGATTGCTCTTGCCTGTCCTTCAAGTCTATTCTTAAATGTCCCATTCTCTGTGAAGCTTTCCTGCCCACCCTATTTAAATTACAGACTTCACTCCCAATTCCCCATCTACTTTAAGAGTCTTCATTTATCATTCCTTGACAAACTGTAAATATACATGTTCACTTTTTTATCATCTGTCTCCAAATACTGGAATGTTAAGTTCTGTAATGTCAGATATTTCTGTTTGGTTCACTGGTGTATTCTTAAAGCATGTTACATACTAGGTATACTCAATGAATATTTGTTGAATAAATATCACATTGGGCTTATTCCAGAAATTCAAGCTTGTTTCAATAGTTAGAGCAATCTACAAATGTAATTCATTACATTAACTAATTAAAGGAGCTAAATCACATCACCACCACAATAATGCAGAAAACCACATTTGATACAACTCAATATTCATGTCTGCCTAACAAACATCTCATGATACTAGGAAAAGAGGAAGGGATATATTATTTTCATGTATAAAGCACTAACCATTGTAGCATGCCAATATACTCAAAATTCAATGAAATTCCTATCAAAATCTTAGCATTCCTCTTAGTCCTCAACAAAGCATTTCTAAAATGTGTATAGAAGACCAAAGGGCCAAAAGAGTCAACTTCTGAAGAAGCGCAAAAAGAAAGTTGAGGAAATCTTAAAACATGTTATTGAGCTTAAAGTTGCAAAAATAAACTCATGTACCATAATTCATGAGTAGAAAAATAGACTAGTGGAATAACATAAAAATAAAAACAATGCTTACATAAAATGTTGTAACTGATTTGGATGTCATTAGAAATCAGTAAGTAAATAGATGGACAATGTAATGAAAGATGCTAGGCAAATAATGTGGTAGGGAGAATAATGGCCCTCAAAGATGCCCATGCCTAACCCTGGAACCTGTGAATATGTTACACTGAATGCAATAAAGGCTTATCAGATGTGATTAAGGATGCAAACCGAGATGGAGAGATCTTCCTGGGTTACCCAGATGGGCCCAGTCTAATCACATGAGTTCTTAAAAATGGAGAACCTTTCTTAGCTGAGTCCAGAGAGAGATGTGACAATGAAAGAATGGTCAGAGAAATGTGACATTGCCAGCTTTAAAAAGAGAGAGGAGAGGCAATGAGAAAAGGAATGCTGATGTTCTCTAGAAGATAGAAAAGGCCAGGATATGGATTCTACCCTAGCCACCATAAAGAAACATGCCTGTCGACAACTTGATTTTAGTTCACTAAAATTCATGCCTGATTTCTGACTTGTGTACACTGTAAGATGACAAGTTTGTGTTATTTTAGGTCACTTAGTTTGTAGAAATTTGTTACAGCAGTAATAGAACAAGTGGTTATCCATATGAGGCAAATTAGATTGGATACCTATCTCCAATAGAAATCAATTCAAGGTGAATTCCAGGAAAATACTTAAAACATTTAGATTAAAAATAAATGAGAATTTTTGTTACTTTTGGTAGGTCATAGAACCAAGAAAAACAAACATTAAGGAGGAAAAATGAACATATGACTACATCAAAATATAAAGCTTCTCTATTTGGAAGATATCATAAGGTGACAAATCATAAACTGTAATATTTACAACATATATATAAGTGAATAAATATACATTTAGAATATATATGAACTCCCAAAAATCAACAGGAAAAATAAGACATAGAACAAGCAAAATGCATAAACAAAAGAAGGCAAAACAAAAATAATGACTCATAATTATATGAAAAGAAGCTCATCTTCATAGATGAGCAGATAAATGCAAATTAAAACCACCCTGAGATGCTTTTTACATCCATGAGCCTGATAAAAGTTAGAGTCTAAAAGTAATAATTAACAAAGATGGGAAGTAACAGAAAATCTTGTCCATTACTGGTTAAAGTATAAACTGATACAGCTACTTTATAGAATATTACATTATAGAATAAAGTTGTGAGTATGTATATGCAGTGACTCAGCATATTCATTGCTAGTATGTACTCAAGAGAAACTTACAGGAGTGGACTAGGAAGTAAATACAAAATGATTACAACATTGTTTGTTATATCAAAAAATAAAAAAGACACCCAATTTTCCAGCAAAAAAAATAAGTAAAAATAAATCCTGGTGTATTCTAACAATGGAATAATATATAGCCATTAAAATAAATCAACTATTACTGTACATATGAATGTAAGTATCAGCAAAACATATTGTTTAGTGAAAAACTAAGAAGCTGAAGAAGAATATATACAATATGGTTACATTTATATGAAGTCCAAAAACTTGCAAAATAAAGAAATGTATTTAGAAATAGATTCACATGTGAGAAAACTAGAAGAAAATTAATGAAAGGATAAGAGGGATAGCAGTAATTCTGAGTAGTTGAGGGAATTTCAATTGGAAAAAAATAATATCATATTCTTTAAGTCAGGTAGTGGGTATTAGCATTTGTTTTACCATCGTTCTTTATTCTTATAGCTACACTATATATTTTCAATGTATTTAATGTATTTTTTGCATAATTAAATATTATGCAATAAAAATGAGAAAACAAAAAAGTAGAAAATGATAAATTACAATAAAGAAATGGAGAAAAAATTATAATCTAGTTGAGTAATGGTATATTACATAGCTATTTTCTTAAGTAGATGTATGTACATGATGTATGCACGATTGTACATACATGTTCTTAATTATATATAAATATATATGTACATATTTTTAATATAAAATACTAAACAAAGTACACCAAAATATTAGCTCCTATGTTAGTGAGATAATGTTTTGTTTTTTTGTATTTTAAGTTTTACATAGTAGGTGTATTTTTCTATTTTCATACTGCTATAAAGAACTGCCCAAGACTGGGTAATTTATAAAGGAAAGAAGTTTAATTGGCTCACAGTTCAGCACAGCTTGGGAGGCCTCAGGAAATCTACAATCATGGCGGAAGACAAAGAGGAAGCAAGCCAGCTTCTTCGCAAGGCAGCATGAAGAAGTGCCGAGCAAAGGGGAAAGAATCCCTTATAAAACCATCAAATCTCGTGAGAACTCACTATCACAAGAACAGCACAGGGGAAACTGCCCCCATGATTCAATTACCTCCACCTGGTCTCTCCCTTGACCTGTGGGGATTATGGGGGCTATGGGGATTACAATTCAAGACGAGATTCAGGTGGGGATACAAAGCCTAACCATATCAGTAGGCATGTATTGAATTTTAAACTCAGAGAAAAATACTAGTGTTTTTATAGGATTCTTACTAAAGAAAAACCAGAAAGTAATAAACCATCTACGCTAAGACATAAAATTCAGTTGTTTAGTTACAAGATAGAATGTGGCCTTGTAAGAAAGCAAATTAACTTCTAACATACAAAGCCTTAGAGAAGATTCAAGTGACTGACGGATCTTAAACAGAGCTATTATTACAACTTGAACTGCAGTAAAATATCCTCAGCAACATAGATGTGTATGTTTCACTAGTCAGAGCAATACAAATTTAATGAAACTCCATTGGTGGTGTTTTTAATCAGACAATTTCTGAAGATGTCCTGGCTTATTCACAGATGCAAGCCAAATCTCTAGAAGAGTACCATAATAAGAAAAAAAAGAATACAGGCAATTGAGAGCTGTTCCAAAGTTTAGGGAGTTTTTGTAAGGAATTAATAAATAAAAATGTTCTTGAAAGAGAGAAATTAATATGCAGTTCATACTGCCAGAATTGCAGGCAATTTATCAAAGTCCCCTAATCCTCCAAAATCGCTATTTTTTTTTTTTGACACACACTTTACAGTACAGAAGAAAATGTCTCCGGCAATAAATCACAAAGTTAAAATTACCTAGTCTACAATTAACTACACAGTGATGGTAAATCATTTTCTACCAAAAGAAAGAAATGTCTTGTCTATTCAGGTTCTGCTCTACTTAAAAGTTTTCCTTGTTGGCGAGCAAGTGGTTAGAAAATCATATTTTATACGTACATTCAGCTTAACTATCATTCAGCTCAGGAAGATGACTCAGGGCCTTATCCATACCTTCAAGTTTGCTCTTAGCAAGTAATTGTTTCAGTATCTATATCAAAAATGGCTTAAGCCTGCAACATGTTTCTGAATGATTAACAAGGTGATAGTCAGTTCTTCATTGAATCCTGGATGCTTTATTTTTCTTAATAAGAGGAATTCATATGGATCAGCTAGAAAAAAATTAAGAGGAAAATCACATGGAAAGTTATATATTATATATCTATTATATATAATATTATATATCTATTATATATAATATTATATATCTATTATATATTATATATTGTATATCTATTACATATATAATATTATATATGTATTATATATATTATATATTATATATCTATTATATATATAATATTATATATTATATATCATTTCCAAATTCCCCAGCGTTCATATTTGTCAGTGCAAGTAAAGAGCCTTACTGCTGATGAGGTTTGAGGTATGACCATTTGGCCAGAATTTATGAACTCTACATGTCGCTTGATGTGTGCCTCAGGGTATACTTTTTTTTTTTTTGAGACGGAGTCTTGCTCTGTCGCCCAGGCTGGAGTGCAGCGGTGCGATCTCAGCTCACCGCAAGCTCCGTCTCCCGGGTTCATGCCATTCTCCTGCCTGAGCCTCCTGAGTAGCTGGGACTACAGGCGCCCACCACTATGCCCTGCTAATTTTTTGTATTTTTAGTACAGACGGGGTTTCACCGTGTTAGCCAGGATGGTCTCGATCTCCTGACCTCGTGATCCACCCGCCTCGGCCTCCCAAAGTGCTGGAATTACAGGTGTGAGCCACCACGCCCGGCCAGGGTACACTTTTAAGCAGAGACACTACTTTGAAGGTCATAAAAAATATAATAAGAGATAAGGCTAATTTCCTTTAATAATAATAAAATCCTTTAATAAAAATATAAAGGAATAATATAATAATTTTCTTTAATAAAATATAATAAGAGATAAGGCTAATTTCCTTTAATAAAATATAGTAACTACATACCAACAGAATTCCAAAAAAAGAAATGGAGAGGAAGGGAGCATGGGTCATTAATCTTGTCAAAAATATAAAATTATATACGAGGAATTCCTAGAAACTGTTTTCCTTGTCTGCGGCCATTGTGCTGCTGCTACACAACTACCGCAAGCAGCCCTTCACGCCCTCCTCCCAGTACAAAGCTAATTGACTTGTGAGAAATGTTAAGCTTGGAAGAGTCAGCATCGCTGCACTTATTTTTTATTCTACTCTGACATTAGAATAATCCTTGAGTGGGGGAAAGGTTAAAAACCCCCCTGGATAAGTGTTACTAATTAATGATGATTGTTTTAAACAATGTTTGGATAATTTTTCCTTGTCCCTTGACATAAACTTGATAAATAACTGAGAAGTGAGAAGGAGATTAGTGGGTTGATTAAATTCCATTCAGGTACTTAAAGTTAGCTCCAAAAATTTAGCTATTTGTAAATTGTCATGCATTGTTAATGTATAAGAGATGTAGATTTCATTTATCTTTGGTGGAGCGAGATGAAGCAGTGAATCATTGAAGACTGAAAGAAAGAAAAAGGTCTTTTCCCTTTTCTTTAAGAAGCATCATTAGTTAAAAACATGTTAGTTGATACCAGAGAACTATATTTAAAGGGACAGCAATAAGCAAATTGATTACTCTGGTGATTATTGGAGTGACATTGCCTTTTAGTTGTACTTTCACAAAAATTCACAATATTTGCCAAAGTCAAGTTATCCATTACACTATTAATTTGTCATTCTTTTGTTTATATAGTCAATATCTCTATCTCAATTGGATCTATCTCAACTGCTTCTAAACAAGCCACCATAGTCTCTCCCATTTCAACAATCTCTTCCAAGTACCACTTCATTTCTTCTTTTCATATTTTTGAAAACTTTTGAAAAACTACCTATTTTCCTCCTCCATTTCTTGTTCATTCCATTCTAGTGGACATGGAATCTGTTCCTCCTCCAAAACGGAATTTGGTCACCCTTAAATTACTAAACCCAAAACAATATGTTGTCTTTATCTTTACCTCTCTGTGGCATTTAATGATAAGACCACTACTTTCTTCTCTTTTACCCTTCTTTCTTGAATTCAGTCAAACAACGTACTTACATTTTTCGTCTTATTCTCCATCTTAGAAACCACCTCAGCTTTCTCCATTCAGCTATAAAATTGTGCTTTTCCTCAAAGATTAATCTGCCTCTCCTCTCACTCTATACTATCTCTGTTAGCTAATTTTATTTGTGCACATTGCTTATACTGGGCATTCTATACACATATGCATGTGTGTACATGTGCACACACACACTGTATGTGGACATGTATATATATATGTGTGTGTGTGTATATATAGTATATATATAAATTACAATAACATAAAGGTGGCATTTTAAATTAGTGGAAATTACCCTGATTTGATCACTACACATTCTATACATGTAAAGAAAATATCACTCTGTATCCCAAGAATATGTACAATTATGGTTTGTCAAATGAAAAAGTTCATACATTGAAAAATTTTAGATAAATATCAAACTTTCTCTGAAACTGTAACTGTAAAATGTAAAAAACAGTAATTGCTATATTGCTTATTTCTGAGTAGAAGAATATGAGACATTTCCCTAATCATTATGTGTAATTACAATTACATATATATATGTAATTGTAATTACACATAATGATTAGGGAAATGTCTCATATTCTATATATATAGACAGAAAGAGAGAAAATATATGAGGGAGAGAAGGAATCTTTCCATCTCCTTTGAGTTCCACGGTGTTGAGAGTCAGGACAACTGCAATTGCTTCATCATGCCTGCTTGCAATTATAGGGCTTTTGAACCATTTGTTCCCTCCTTAGATATCCTCATTTTTTTCAGATTCTTGCTTAGAAGTCACTCCTCCGTGGACCTCCTCTGACATATTAAACATTGCAGTCCATTATAAGCTGCAAGAGGACAGGGATTTTTGCCTGTTTTATTCCCTACTGTATCACCAGGGGCTACAGCAATATCTGACAAACAGTGGGCATGTAATGAATATTTGTTAAGTGAAGTAATAAATTCAATCAAATCACATCACCTGTTTAAAGCACTTCATTGGCTTCACATTGCACTTAGAATAAAGAGAAATTCTTTTTATACAATATAAGTTCCTGCAGAATGCAGACACTTTCTACTTCTCCAGCCTCTTTTCGACTCCTCTCCTACTAGCTTCTGTATTTAAGCCACATTAGACCTTTCTTCAGTTTTTTATATAGACTTTGTCGCATCACACCTCAGAGATTCTGTACATGTTCTTCCTCCTGCCTAGAAAGGATCGTCCCTCCACTTTTGCCAACTAATCCCTGCTCAACTTTTCATCTCAGCAGGAGGCCCATTCTCTTTGGCAATCCTCTGGCCTCCAGCCCATTTATTATATGCTCACATGTCAACATGTACTTCGTACAGCATGTAACACAATTGCACTTTTATATTTTAACAAATTATATTTCCCATATTGAACTGTAAGTCTCCTGAAAGCAGGAATTTTGTTCTTGCTCATCATCAACTTTTTCAACATCCAGTGCACCATTTAGAACTTAGATGTAGTCAATACAGGTTTGTGGAATGAAAGAGGAAAAGAAAGAATTAATATTCCTTTAAATTAGGATGGCAAAGATCGTATATAGAAAATTGGCTAAGTTGTGGTCCATTCATGTTTGCTCCCAATTAAGGAGCACAGCTATGAAAAGGAAGGCTTCAAATTAATAACCAATAGATTTTTTTAAAAAGAAAACTGGCCAGGTACTGTGGCTTATGTCTGTAATATCAGCATGTTGGGAGGCCAAGGCAGGATTACTTGAGCCAAGAAATTCCAGACCAGCCTGAGAATTTGGCAAAACTCTGTCTCTACAAAAAATACAAAAATTAGCCAAGTTTGGTGGCATGTGCCTGTAGTACCAGCTACTTGGGAGGCTGAGGTGGAAGAATAGCTTGAGTCTGGGAGGTCAAGGCTGCAATGAGCTGTGATTGCACCACTGCACTCAAGCCTGGGTGGTAGAGTAAGACCCTGTCTCAAAAAAAAAAAAAAAAAAGAAAAATCACTAAGCAAAATAAGACATGTGAAGGATCATGTCAAAGGTAAGAAAAATTAGGGGAACATTAAAAGCTTTCTTCCCAAGCCACTAAATCAACTTGACTAACAAAATTACCACTTGATTTAGCATTAGAAAATTACATTACATATCAAACATAAACCCATTAATCAAATACTAAAGAAATTTCTGAGTTAAATGGTATAATGTTAGCTTATGCCAGAGCTGACCTTGAAAGATTGTTCAAATATGGCTCAGTGTGATTGAAAGTTCAGTGTGAATATGTTTTTGGAAAGATCCAACAGCAACACCTTAGTGTATGTTTTTGAAATAAAATGTATCTGAGTAGCAGCAAAGTTATTCTCAAATTTCCATTTTATAGCTGGAGATGTTATACCGTGACGTATATGATAGGACCCAATATGGATCAATCCCTTTTAGAAGTCAATCAGGAAGAGGGGAGCAGTTAAAACAGTTGCTTGGTTTACAAACATTAGAACAATTTTCTTATTCACACCATCTGATTATTGTATTTTATTTTTTCCCCAACGTTTAGACTACACAATGAGTTAAGAATGATAAAAATAAGCTCACCAATATACTATGTACATATTTACCAAAATCTGTGCATGCTTATACATATAAACACAGCTGATAATTTATTAGTTAGGCTCATTTGTAATTTTTGTCACTATAGACCAGTTTTTTATTTAAATTGAAGATTAGTATACATTTTAAATGATTAGTCAAAATAAAAAATCTAAAATGTGCTCTAAATACCTCTTAGGTCAGAAAAAAAAAGTCAAAAGCTAGAGTATAGAGAAATTAAGAAACGCCCTAAATTTCTAATCTGACAAAAATTCATACAAGATTTAAATATTTTAATGGAAAATAGAACAGAACTAATTATTGAAGAAATTATAGAAAGGAAACAAAATAAACAGATTATATGGAGGATTTTTAGAAGATAAGTAAATAAATTAATATACTAGGAAAAAACAAGGGAAATATACTTGATAAATAAATACAGGTAAGAGTTCTTTTGAAATAATGATAAAATAGAAAATCTCTGTCAAAACTAAAAGGAAAGATGCATAAATATATAAATAAATGATAAAAAATGTTGCATACATATATGACTTTTTCAGAATCAAAAAATTTAAATTTCTGTAATAAAATTTAAATGTTTATAAATTTAAAAAACTAGAAGAAAGAATGTTGACTGTTCACAATACAAATAAATGACAAATATTTGAGGTGATGGATATGCTAATTATCCTTATTTGATCATTGGGCATTGTATACATGTATCAAAATATCACTCTGTATCCCATGAATATGTACAATTATTTGTCTCAAAAACAAACAAAAAAAAGATAATGGGAGAATGTTGAAAACTCAGAGAGAAGAGCAACTCTCACAGATAGGGATCCAGATAACATTAGCAGCTGATTTCTCGGCAGAAACCTTGAAGGCCAGTAGGCAGTGGATTATATATTTAAAATAATGAAGAAACCTGTCAATTGAGAAATATATAGCTGGAAAACTTATCCTTCAAAAATGAAGGAGAAATTAAGACATTTCCGGATTTTTTTTTAAAACTGAAAAAAATCCATTTATCCCTGAATTTGACATTCAGGAAGTGTTAAGTCCTTCAGGTTGAAATAAATGAACTCTAGGCAATAACTATGTAAGTAAATAAGCAAGCTGTATGAATATACAAAGCTCTCTGGTAAAGGTAAATACATAAACATAAAAACAGTCCTATTGTAATTTTGGTTTGTAACTCTGCTTTTTATTTTCTACATAATTTAAAAGGCAAATGCATAAAATGTAATTGTAAATCTGTTAGCTGGTATACAATGAATAAAGATATAATTTGTCACATCAATAACATAAAAAGAGTAGAGCTATATATATAGCAGTAGAATTTTGGTATGTGATTGAACTTAAGTTGAAATAAATTCAAATTAAAATGTTATAACTCTAGGATGTTATATGTAATTCTCATAGTAACCAAAAATGAAATATATATAGAATATAAACAAAAGGAAATGAGACTAGAAACAAAATGTGTCACTACAAAAAAATCAACTAAAGATAAAAAAGAAATAATTGAGAAAATGATTGGCAAAAATCAGTAACTCTGACGTATTAAAACTTTCCATGCTACATAAATCTGAAAACTCTATTTCACATAAAACTGGAGCTGAAAGAAACAAATATTTACCTATAAAGTTAAAAGTTATATAGGGAACAAACACTAATTTTTTTTAGAAAAAATTATAAAAAGAGTAAAAATATGCCTTATACTACCGTAATTTCATGTTTTACAGCTCTGGGAAAATAGAAAATAAAATGTTCTGTTAGCATGAATCCCTCTGTGCCCCCAAAAACCCTATGGATTGCATCATTATTACCTAAAAAGTCTATTCTCAAATGCAGCAGAGTGATATTTTTTACAAGGTAGATATTAATTTTAGATATGGAATAATATTGGTGATTTCAATTTTATAACACTGGGTTAAGATGAAAGAATGAGAAGATAAAGGTCCCTCAGCAATATAACTCACAAACATGTTCAGAAGCAGTAAGAAGTTACATTAATTATCTTTTGAAAGTCGATAATCTACATCTTTAATGTATGCATATAGCATAGCTAATGTACTATCGCTGGGTCCATTTATTCAATGAATAATTGCCGCTATGTGTCAGACATTTTTCTAGGCCTAGGAATGGATACATAAGTGAACAAAGCAAAGATTCTGGTTCTTGTAGAGTTTCCATTAAAAGACCATTTAGTAAAACTTTTCTTCCCCCAAATTATAAAATCTGTAAGATGATTTAACAACATGTGTAAAAGTCATTGTGGGCCAGGCACGGTGGCTCATACCAGGTGTGGTGACTCATAGCACTCTGTCACCCAGGCTGGAGTGCAGTGGCACAATCTCTGCTCACTGCAACCTCTGCCTCCTGGGTACAAGCGATTCTCCTGCCTCAGCTTTCTGAGTAGCAAGGACTACAGGTGCACACCATCACGCCTGGCTAATTTTTGTACTATTAGTACAGACGGAGTTTCACCATGTTGGCCAGGCTGGTCTCGAACTCCTGACCTCAAATGATCCGCCCACCTCGGCCTCCCAAAGTGCTGGAATTACAGATGTGAGCCACAATGCCCGGCCTTATTTTCTACAACTTTGGTAACTTTAGCATATACCCCAAATCTGTAAGACATAATATTATAATTCAAATGCAACTCATGGCTTCTCTTTGTACTCTTTCTCTAGCTTTTGAATTATTTATTCTAATACCAGTTTTAATTCTGACACAAAATCATGGGAGTTCTAATCAAAATCCAACCTTTTATCATAAAAACTATGAAGAAATTATGAGTAGAATTTAAAAAGGAAAATAGGCCTATTAATTAGATTTGTCTTTGTAGCATTTAACTCTATAATAAATAATATTTTATGCCTATGAGTCCCCAACAAAGCCTCCAGCTTCTATTTAGATACAAACTGTAAAAGTCACTACTGGATCCACAAGCAAGACTATGGTAAATAAATTTCTCCACCTAACCAGCTTCTTTTACATGATGTTACATGTTTCTTTTGTTTTTTCATTTTGGCAAATATTGATTGTCATCTTCGTGTTTGTCTATGTCCTAAGTGCTGGGATACAGAATCTGAAAAGATGGACACAGGACCTGCCTTCAAGTTCACCCCCTTTTTTTTTTTTTTTTTGAGATGCAGTTTTGCTCTTGTCACCCAGGCTGGAGTGTAATGGTGAGATCTCTGCTCACTGCAACCTCCACCTCCAGGGTTCAAGTGATTCTCCTGCCTCAGCCTCCCAAGTAGCTGGGATTACAGGTCCCAGCCACCACGCCTAGCTAATTTTTGTATTTTTAGTAGAGACAGCGTTTCATCATGTTGGTCAGGCTGGTCTCGAACTCCTAACCTCAGGTAGTCGACCCACCTCGGCCTCCCACAGTGCTGAGATTACAGGCATGAGCCACCACGCCCTGCTAGGAGTTCACGCTTTAGTTGGGGAAAATATACAATAAGCAAGCCAGTTTTTAAAATGAGAACTGCAATTAGAGTTAAATGCTACAAAGACAAACTCACAGGAAGATGGGATGTAGAATGATAAGGCTCTCAGAATAGTAAGAGAAACTATTGCTTCTTACGATGTTTGTCTTTCTTTGTATCGGTGCTCAGCTGAGTCTGCAGTGCTTCAGAGGCAGCTTTCATTTTATAAAAATCTATGATTTCTCCTTCCAGTTGTTTTTTCTCTTCCTCGAGCTTCCTTATCTCCTCCTGTTGAATCATTTTAAGATGCTCGAACTTGTCCTGCAGCTGTGAAACCAATGTGCAGTTGTGACACCAAAGCAGTGTGGCTGAACACCTAAAAGAATACGCTTTTTTTCTGATTATCAAACAAACCCAAATCATCACAGTAGAGCACGATCTTAATAACAATCTCAAAAACTCAGGAGTAAACACTCAGATATGGAATTTTTCTTTTCTTTCTTTTTTCCTTTTATAAGATGGAGTCTCACTCTGTTGCCCAGGCTGGAGTGCACTGGTGCGATCTCAGCTCACTGCAACCTCCCTCTCCCAGTTCAAGTGATTCTCCTGCCTCAGCCTCTTGAGTAGCTGGGACTATAGGCATGCACCACCACTACAGGCGTGTGCCACCACACCTGGCTAATTTTTGTATTTTTAGTAGAGATGGGGTTTTGCCATGATGGCCAGGCTGGTCTCGAACTCCTGACCTCAGGTGATCCTCCCGCTTTGGCCTCCCAAAGACTTTTTTTTTTTTTTTTTAATATAGAGACAAGTTCTCAGTACGTTGCCCAGGCTGGTCTCAAACTCCTGAGCTCAAGTGATCCTCCCACCTCAGCTTCCCAAAGTGCTGGGACTGACTGGATGCAGTGGCTCATGCTTGTAAACTCAGCACTTTGGGAGGCCAAGGTGGGAGGATCGCTTGAGCCCAGGAGTTCAAGACCAGACTGGGTGATATAACACAATAGTCAACTTCAACAGGAGAGAGAATCTGTAAACTTGAATATAGATCTTCCGAAATTATCCAGTCAGAGGACAGAGAAAAAAAGAATAAAAGAGAGAAAAGAAGGCTGGGTGTGGTGGCTCAAGCCTGTAATCCCAACACTTTGGGAGGCCGAGGCAGGCAGATTAAGAGGTCAGGAGTTCAAGACCAGCCTGTCCAACATGACAAAGCCCCATCTCTACTAAAAATACAAAAATTAGCCGGGTGTGGTGGCACACACCTGTAGTCCCAGCTACTTAGGAGGCTGAGGCAGGAGAATCGCTTGAACCCAGGAGGCGGAGGTTGGAGTGCAATGTGAGCCGAGACCACACATTACACTCCAGCCTGGGTGACAGAGCATGACTCTGTCTCAAAAAGAAAAAAAAAAGAGACAGAGAAAAGAAAGCCAACAAGACACCATTAAGCAAACCATTGTCAGGTTATGGGAGTTTGAGAAGGAAAGTAGAGAAAGGAGAATAAAGCTTATTTAAAGAATGGCTGACAACTGCCTAAATCATGGGAAAGATTTAGACATCTAAATCCATGAAGCTTAAAGATTCCTAAAGAGGTTCAAACCAAATAGATACTCACCAAGTCACAATATAATCAAATAGTCAAAAGTTAAAGAAACTTTGCAGGTCAGGACAGAATCGAATAATACATTCAAAGTGCTGAAAGAAAAAAACTGCCAGCAACTAATACTATGTCTGACAAAGCTGTCCTTCAGAAAGGAAAAAGAAATAACGTGTTTCCTCGACAAACAAAGCTGAGGGCATTCAGGACCACTAGGTCTACCTTAAAAAAATGCTTAACGGAGTTTTTCAAGTAAAAATGAATGAAGTTGGGAGCGGTAGCTCATGCCTGTAATCCCATTTTGGGAGGCTGAGGTGGGTGGATCACCTGAGGTCGGGAGGTCAAGACCAGCCTGGCCAACATGGCAAAACCCCACCTCCAGTAAAAATACAAAAAATTAGCCAGGTATGAAGGCCACTGAGATCGTGCCACTGCAC
Source organism: Homo sapiens (assembly GCF_000001405.40). Lineage (NCBI taxonomy): Eukaryota > Metazoa > Chordata > Mammalia > Primates > Hominidae > Homo > Homo sapiens. Next base: position 486,910 of record NC_000001.11, read on the forward strand.
TCCAGCCTGGGTGACAAGAGTCAAACTACATTTCAAAAACAAAAAACAAAACAAACAAAAAAAACAAAACTTGAGGCCTGGCCTTCTGCTCCTCTCCAACCTCCCCTTCTCTGGGCCCAAGCCACCTTGGCTGAGGAGGGGGCGAGGAGGTGTGAGCCCCTGCCAGGAACCCCCTGCCCGGACCAAGTGCTCGGCCCCCAGGCCTGCGTTCAGTGAGGCCTCCCGTGGCGTCAGCATGTTCGTGTGGAGGAATGTGGAAGGTCACTCTGCGGCCGTGTTCTCCTGGTACTCCATCCCCTTCCTGACCCCTCCCTGCAGCCACACGAGGCCCAGCAACCTGCCAGTCACTCAGTGGCCTCCAACCAGAGAAAACAACCTGCCAAGTTGGCAGCCGTTGCTCATGAGCGTCCACCAGGTGGGACAGGGAGTGTTGACCCTGGGCGGCCCCCTGGAGCCACCTGCCCTGAAAGCCCAGGGCCCGCAACCCCACACACTTTGGGGGTGGTGGAACCTGGTAAAAGCTCACCTCCCACCATGGAGGAGGAGCCCTGGGCCCCTCAGGGGAGTCCCTGCTGGACAGTGAGACAGAGAATGACCATGATGATGCTTTCCTCTCCATCATGTCTCCTGACACCCAGTTGCCTCTACCACTCAGATGATGTCAGGCCCAGTCCCTCAGTGCCCTGCGCAAGGAACAGGACTCATCTTCTGAGAAGGATGGACGCAGCCCCAACAAATCAGACAAGGACCACATCCGGTGGCCCATGAGTGGCGCTCATGATCTTCAGCAGGCGGCACCAGGCCCTGGCGGGGCGCACCAGGGTCACCCCAACCAGGATAACCGGACCGTCAGCCAGATGCTGAGCGAGCGGTGGTACACCCTGGGGCCCAATGAGATGCAGAAATACAACCTGGCCTTCCAGGTGAAGGTGGCCCACTTGCAACAAGGACCGAAAGAAGTCCAGCTCAGAGGCCAAGCCCACAAGCCAGGGGCTAGCAGGAGTGTAACAAGGGCTCGTGGGAGCGGAGCATATCAGAGACGGGCACGGCCACTGCCCCTGGGGTGTCCTCTGAACTCCTGTCAGTTGCAGCCCAAACACTCCAGAGCTCGGATACCAAGGAGCAGCTTCTGTGGGGCAGAACGGCTGCACACAGTCAGGGAACCTGGCTCAGCCTGGCCCAAGCCTTCTCCCACAGCGGGGTACACAGCCTGGACGGCAGGGAAATAGACCGTCAGGCACTACGGGAACTGACACAGGTGGTGTCTGGCACTGCATCATACTCTGGCCCAAAGCCTTCTACTCAGCATGGAGCTCCAGGCCACTTTGCAGCCCCTGGTGAGGGAGGTGACCCGTGGGCAGCCCTGCTGCCGCCCACGTGAGCTGCTCATTCCCAGCACATGGCCAGCGAGGTCATAGCGAGTGACGAAGAGCACACGGTCATCCATGAGGAGGAGGGGGTGATGATGTCATTGCTGATGATGGCTTTAGCACCACCGACACCGATCTCAAGTTCAAGGAGTGGGTGACCGACTGAGAGTGGGGACAACTCTGGGGAGGAGCCAGAGGGCAACAAGGGCTTTGGTGGGAAGGTATTTGCACCTGTCATTCCTTCCTCCTTTACTCCTGCCGCCCCTTGCTGGATCCTGAGCCCCCAGGGTCCCCCGATCCACCTGCAGCTTTTGGCAGTCTATGGTCACACCCTGTCCTCCTCCTACACGTACTCGGATGCTTCCTCCTCAACCTTGGCACCCACCTCCTTCTTACTGGGCCCAGGAGCCTTCAAAGCCCAGGAGTCTGGTCAACGCAGCAGAGCGGGCCCCCTACGGCCCCAACCCCTGGGGATGGGGGCCCAGGGACGCCTTCCAAGGTGGCCTGTTTCCTCCCAATGGATCCTGCCACCTTCTGGTGCAAGAGACCTGAAAGTGTGGGCGACCTGGAGCTACCAGGCTCCTCAGTCATCAGGGTCCCTCCCAACACTAAGGCTTTCCTAGGCAGGAGCTGGGCTGAGCCACCCGGGGGGCAGAGCCTGAAGAGAAACTGACTGGGCTTTCGGGGTCGGGGCAGAGGGAACCCCACGGACATGGATCCCACACTGGAGGACCCCACCGCGCCCAAATGCAAGACGAGAAGATGCTCCAGCTGCAGTCCAAAGCCCAACACCCCCAAGTGTGCCATGTGTGATGGGGACAGCTTCCCCTTTGCCTGTACAGGTGGAGAAGCCGAGGACAGGCTCAGGGAACCGGAGACCGAGAAGGCGCTGTCCTCTTCACTGCACGTACCCTGGACCAGTGCCGGCCCTGATCATGCAGCTCTTCCAGGCCCACTGCTTCTTCCTGTCCACTAGGCCACAGCCGCCCTCCAGGCCCACTATGCACACATCTTCCCCTCCAAGGTTTGTTCTGCCCCTGCCCTGACTCCCAGCCCTGTGGGGGTCCTGACCGCACCTCACCTGGCTCAGACTCTTGACGCTGCCCTGGCTGCCCCACCACTGCTTCTGCCCGAGAGTCACGTGAGGCTGAGAGTAGGGGCAGGGGCAGCAGTGGTGCCAGTTGGGGGGCGGTCCAGTGGGAGGAGCCTCAGCCTCGCAGGCTGCTCCGTGGGACTGATGACTGCATGATCTTCTGGGCACCTCACGGATCTTCAACTGCAGGTGAAACGGATGCTGGTGGTGGGTGCAGGGCCGCTGGGAGCTGCTGCATGGTTCCCAGAGGCTGGACTGAGGCAGGTGCCAACTGAAGCTGCTAGGGCAGCATGGGCAGGATGTTCTGCACACAAACCTTGGAGAAGAAGATGTGTGCATAGCAGGTCCACTGCTGCTGCCCCTGCCCTGACTCCCAGCCCTGCCTGACCCCACCTCAACCTGCTCAGGCTCTGGCACAACCCTGGCTGCCCTGCCACTGCCTCTGCCCCAGAGTTGGGGCCTTGACAGCCTGGTTGGAAGGGGACACCCCAGCCCTGCCTCAACACCTGGGGGTCTCCATAACTACCACAGGCAGGTGGGCAACCCCAAAGATCCCAGGACTCACAGTACCCCCTGAGAACATGGACAGTATGTGGGGGTAGCAATGGAGGGCAGGATGGTTATCTTCTCCCAGGTGAAGCCATTTAATCCTTTCAGTTTGGGACGGAGTAAGGCCTTCCTTTTTTTTTTTTTTTTTTTTTTTTTGAGACCGAGTCTTGCTCTGTCGCCCAGGCTGGAGTGCAGTGGTGCGATCTTGGCTCACTGCAACCTCTTCCCGCCGGGTTCACGCCATTCTCCTGCCTCAGCCTTCCGGGTAGCTAGGATTACAGGTGGACGCTACCACGTCCGGCTAATTTTTGTATTTTTAGTACAGACGGGGCTTCATCATCTTGGCCAGGCTGATTTCGATCTCCTGACATCGTGATCTGCCTGCCTCCCCCTCCCAAAGTGCTGGGATTACAGGCGTGAGCCACCACGCCTGGCCAAGGCCTGCTCCTCTTATCTATACCCCCTACCCCTGCAGCTGTGCCGGGGGAAAGCTGGGCAGTTTCCCTCCTCCGAGCCCCTGTACATACCATGAATTGTGGGACCTTCAGAGCTTTTCACTTTTCGGAAAATAGCTCCTGCTGGGGCTACAAGATGGAGTGTGAAGAGGGCCTTGGGCCACAGGGAGGCGCCTGTGGACTAGGGGGAGTTCATGCACCCCTTCTTTCCCCAGAGGGGCTGGACTCAGGTGAGTATGGGGGTGGGGGCTCCTGCACTTCGACACAGGCAGCGGGAGGGTTTTCTCCCCATTCCCTCTGCACTCCCAACTTGAGCTATACTTTTTAAGAAAGTGATTCACCCTGCCTTTGCCCCCTTCCCCAGAACAGAACACGTTGATCGTGGGCGATATTTTTCATTGTGCCAAAAAGTTGCCATGACCGTCATTAAACCTGTTTAACACCAAATAATAAGGAAAATAAAATAAAAAATTCGGGCTTGGCGCAGAAACTCACTCCAAATAAATTACCTATCAAAATATTTACATAATGGTGGAAATATTCCAAAATTCAATATTTTGGGATTTATACACAAAAGATAAACAAATTAGAGGCCAAGAGGCTGCCGGAAGGGAAAAACGGGGCCTGGAATGGCCGACGTGAGGAATGAGCTGGGCCTAAAGAGGCCACTGGCAGGCAGGAGCTGGACCTGCCGAAGTGGCCGAAAGGCAGGAGCTTTGGACTGGGGAGGCCGCAGTGAGGCGAGAGCTAGCTGGGCGTGGAGAGTCTGCTGTGAGGCCGAGGCCGAGGCCGGGCCCGTGCAGGCCTTCGAGAGGCAGGAGGCCGGGCCTGCAAAGGCCGACTGGAGATCAAGTTCTGCGCCTGAAGAGGCTGCCAAAAGTCAAAAGCGGGGCCTGGGAAGGCCGCCGAGAGCCATGAGCTGGGCTGGGCCGAAAGAGGCCACTGGGAGGCAGGAGGAGCTGGGCCTGGAGAGGCTGACTCGAGGAAGTTTTGCACCTGGAGAGGCCGTCGAGAGGACGGAGCTGGGCCCAGGGAGGCCGACTTGCTGCTCTTCCAGGCCCACTTCCAGGCCGACTTGAGGACGACTTGGGCCTGCAGAGGCCGCCGGGAGGCTGGAGCTAAGCCTGGAGAGACTGACTTCGGGACGATTTGGGCCTGCGGAGGCCGCCGGGAGGCCCAAGCTGGGCCTAGAGGAGCCCACCGACCGGAGGCCATTTGGGGCCTGCAGATGTCATCGGAGGGCCAGGAGCTGAGCCTGGAGAGGCCACCGCGAGGCCTGAGCTGGGCCTGGGGAGCTTGGCTTAGGGAAGTTGTGGGCCTACCAGGGCCGCTGGGAGCTGGGCAGGAGCTGAGTCCAAAGACGTTGTTGGGACCTGGAGTCGGGCCAGAGTCCGGCCTGGAGATGCAGCCGGGAGGAAGAGCTGGGCCCGGAGGGGGCGCCGGGAGGCTGCAAGTGGGTCTGAGAGGCCAACTTAAGGAGGCCTGGCCTCTGCCTCCCGCATTGCCCAGCTGTTCCTCCTGGCTGCATCTCCCACCTCCCAGCAAACAAGCTCTTTTGGCTCAGCTCCCGCCTGCGTTTGTAGACCCCAAAGTTTCTGCAACCAAGCTCTTCAGACCCACATCCCTTCTCCCAGTGACTGAACAGTCCCAGCTCCGGCTGGAGAAGGGCGTCTGCAGACCCCGCTGTTGCCTCCCAGGGGAGTCTCCAGGCCCAGCTCTCGCCCCACCGCGACCTCCCAGGCCCAAGTCCCTGCCTACCTCCCAGCAGCCCGAGTGCGATCCTGTTCCTCCCTCACGGTGGCCTGTTGAGGCAGGGGGTCACGCTGACCTCTGTCCGCGTGGGAGGGGCCGGTGTGAGGCAAGGGCTCACACTGACCTCTCTCAGCGTGGGAGGGGCCGGTGTGAGACAAGGGGCTCACGCTGACCTCTGTCCACGTGGGAGGGGCCGGGGTGAGGCAAGGGCTCACACTGACCTCTCTCAGCATGGGAGGGGCCGGTGTGAGGCAAGGGGCTCACGCTGACCTCTGTCCGCGTGGGAGGGGCCGGTGTGAGGCAAGGGCTCACACTGACCTCTCTCAGCGTGGGAGGAGCCAGTGTGAGGCAGGGGCTCACGCCTCTGGGCAGGGTGCCAGAGGCATGAGTTGGGCATCAACAGGCCACCGTGAGGGAGGAGCTGGGCCGCACGCGGGCTGCTGGGAGGCAGGCAGGGACTTGGCCCCGGGAGGCCGCCGTGGGGGCAAGAGCTGGGCCTGGAGAGGCCCCTGGGAGGCAAGGGAGGGGCCTGCAGAGGCTGTTCTCCAACCAGTGCTAGAACTGTACAGGCCACCAGGAGGCAGGAGGTGGGCCCTCAGAGCTTGGCTGGAGAAAGTTCGGGGCCTACAAAGGCGGTTGGGAGCTGGGCAGGAGTTGAGCCAAAAGAGCTTGCTTACTTGCTGGGAGGCAGGGCCGGGAGAGCCCGACTTCAGGACAACTTGGGCCTGCGGCGGTCGCCGGGAGGCCCAACCTTGGCGTGGAGGAGCCCACCGACCGGAGACCATTTGGGGCCTGGAGATGCCATCGGAGGGCAGGAGCTCATCCTGGAGAGGCCACCGTGAGGCCTGACCTGGGCCTGGGGAGCTTGGCTTGAGGAAGCTGTGGGCCGACCAAGGCCGCCAGGAGATGGGTAGGCACTGAGTCCAAAGAGGTTGTTGAGAGGCAGGAATCGGGCCTGGAGACCCAACCAGGAAGAAGAGCTGGGCCCGGAGAGAACGCCCGGAGGGTGCAAGTGGGTCTGGAGAGGCCGACTTGAGGAGGTTCTGGGCCCGGAGAGGCCGCCGGAAGGGAAAAACTGGGCCTGGAAAGGCCGTTGTCAGGAATGAGCCCCATGGGCCTGAAGAGGCCACTGGCAGGCGGGAGCTGGGCCTGCCGAAGCGGCCGAGAGGCAGGAGCTTTGGACTCGGGAGGCCGCAGTGAAGCAACAGCTAGCTGGGCGTGGAGAGTCCGCTGTGAGGCAGAGGCTGGGCCTGTGCAGGCCTTCGGGAGGCAGGAGGCTGGGCCTTGTCGAGGCCTGCAGAGGCCACCGAAAGTCAAAAGCGGGGCTTGGGAAGGCCGCCGGGAGGCATGAGCTGGGCTGGGCCGAAAGAGGCCACTGGGAGGCAGGAGGAGCTGGGCCTGGAGAGGCTGCCGAAAGGCAGGAGCTTCGCCTGAGGATGCCACAGTGAGACACCATCTGGGTCTGGAGGGTCCACTGTGAGGCAGAGGCTGACCTGTAGAGTCCGACAGTAGACAGAAGTTGGGCAAAAGCCTGATTTGAGGAAGTTTTGGGCTTCAAGAGTCAGCCACGAGGCAGGCACTAGGCCTGGAAATGGCCTCACAGTCATGAGTTGGGCCTAAATGGGCCACTGTGAGGGAGGAGCTGTGCCTGTTGAGGCTGCTGGCAGGCAGGCAGAAATTTGGCCTGGGGCAGCTGCCATGAGGCAAGAGCTGGGCCTGGAAAAAGCCCCTGGGAGGCAAGAGCAGGGCCTGCAGAGGCTGTTCTCAAGTCAAAGCTGGGCCTGTTGATGCCACCGGGAAGCAGAAGGTGGGCCTGGAGAGTTTGACTTGAGGAAGTTTTGGGCCTACATTGGCCGCCATGAGCTGGACAGGAACTGGGCCAAAAAAGGCTGTTGTGAGGCAGCAGTTGTGCCTGTAGACCCAGCCAAGAGGAAGAGGTGGGCCTGGAGAAGCCCCCATGAGGCAGAGGTTGGGCCTGTAGACGCTGACAGGAGGCAGGAGCTGGGCCTGGACAGGTCAACTTGAGGAGATTTTGGGCCTTCATAGGCCACCAGGAGGCAGCAGTTGGGACTAGAGAGTCTAACTTGAGTAAGTTTTGGGCCCGGAGATGACGTCCTGGGACAGGAGTTGGGCCTGGAGAGGCCACCGTGAGGCATAAGCTGGATGTAGAGAGGCCAGTGTGAGGCAAGACCTGGGCCTGTCTAGGCTGCTGGGAGACAGGCAGGAATCTGGCCAGGGAAGGTTGCCATGAGACAAAAGTTGGGCCTGGAAAGGCCCTTGTGAAGCATGAGCTTGGCCTAAAGAGGCCACTGGGTGGCAGGAGCTGGGTGTGTAGAAGCTGCTGAAAGGTTGGGAGCTTGGCTTGGGGGGTCCACAGTGAGGTAGATGCTGGGCGTGAAGAATCTGCTGTGAGGCAGACGTTGGGACTGCAGAGGCCGACGGGAGGCAGAGGCTGGGCCTGGAGGGGCCACCAAGATGCAGGAGCTGGGCCTGGAGAGGCTGCAAAGAAGCATGAGCTGGGCCTGGTGAGGTCGACTTGAGAAAGTTCAGGGCCTGGAGAGAAGGCTGGGAGGCAGGAGCTGGGTCTAAAGAGGCCATTGTAACGATGGAGCTGTGCCTGTGGAGGCTGTTGTGAGGCAGTAGCCTCATCTGCGGAGGCTGCCGTGACGTAGGGTATGGGCCTAAATAGGCCATTGTGAGTCATGAGCTTGGTCTGTAGAGGCTGACTGGAGAAAGTTCTGGGCCTGGAGAGGCTGCCGGGAGGTAGGAGCTGGGCCAAAAGATGTAAGCACATTTGCATTTATTAGGCACTTTATTTCCATTATTACACTGTAATATATAATAAAATAATTATAGAACTCACCATAATGTAGAATTAGTGGGCGTGTTAAGCTTGTTTTCCTGCAACTGGATGGTCCCACCTGAGCGTGATGGGAGAAAGTGACAGATCAATAGGTATTAGATTCTCATAAGGACAGCGCAACCTCGATCCCTCACATGCACGGTTCACAACAGGGTGCGTTCTCCTATGAGCATCTAATGCTGCTGCTCATCTGAGAAGGTGGAGCTCAGGCGGGAATGTGAGCAAAGGGGAGTGGCTCTAAATACAGACGAAGCTTCCCTCACTCCCTCACTCGACACCGCTCACCTCCTGCTGTGTGGCTCCTTGCGGCTCCATGGCTCAGGGGTTGGGGACCCCTGCTCAAGTGCATCCAAAGCGACCCTTCCCACACCAGTCTTCACAGTGGTCAAGGGCAGCAACCACTTAGCTCCCAAGGCATGTGCCTCAGCTGGCATTTCGTCACAATCAACAGTAAGTGGTAGCTTGAGTCACTGTGAGGTCACCTACTGGAAATCACCAGCACCCCATTTCCCACTGGCAAAGAGCTCAGCACTGCCCCCTGGGAAACCAAACCTATGCCCAAATCCCATCTGTGTGGGTTTACCTCCTGGGACCCTTCCTAACATATTAGTCAGAGTCCAATCAGGAAGCATAAACCACTCAAAAGTTTAAAGTGGTAAAATTTAATACAGAGAATTATTCATTATAACAGGTGAACAGCATAATGAGAGATTGGCTAGCACAGAGTAAAGAGAACTCTAGAGAATATGGGACTAGCCCAGGCCAGGCATGGTGGCTCATGCCTGAAATTCCAGTAATTTCAGAAGCTAATGCAGGAGGATTGCTTAAGGCCAGGAGCTAGAGACCGGTCTGGACAACAGAGTGAGACCCTGTCTCTATCCAAAAGAAGAAAAAAGTTAGCTGGGGGTGGTGGTGCACACTTGTAGTCCCAGCTACTCGGAATGCTGAAGTTTGAGCCTGGGAGGTCAAGGCTGCAGTGAGGCATGATTATGCCACTACAGTCCAGCCTGGTGACAGAGCAAGACCCTGTCTCAAAGACCAAAACAGCAACAACCATTTACAGACAGAAAAGAAATAGAGCTAATAAGCTGAGGAAAGATGTTGAAATGTGACAAGTAAAGTAATATGAGTTCTTTTGTCTATGTAAAATAATCAAACAAAAAATGACTTACTAAATTATAATACCCTGTGCTGGCAAAGGTGCAGTGAAATGGGCACCTTCTTATACTATGAGGGGTGTTTAAATTGTGTATAAGCCTTCCCGGGTAAAGCCTGTCAATTTTTTAAAATAATGGAGACAGGGTCTCACCATACTGCCATACTGCCTCCTCCAACTCTTGGCCTCAAGCAATCCTCCTCTCTTAGCCTCCCAAAGTGCTAAGATTATAGCTGGGAGGCACCCAAAACCCTGTCAATTTACATCAAGGGTAAGGAGAATGTCCATTCACCATGACTCACAGTAATCTTACTTCTGGGGAGACAATTCAATCTAAACAAAAGGTCATCTGTACACACACAGTAAAAATCTGGGAGTAACTGAAGACAGAGTTGGTAAGTGAAATAAGAAACAGTTATAAGAAATTAAACTATGGTATCAATAGGCACCTGGTAAAAGGTCAGTTGATGTTAGCTGCTACTTTTTTGTTGTTTTGAGACAGGGTCTCACTCTGTCACCCAGGCTGGAGTGCAGAGGCCTGATCATGACTCACTGCAGTCTCAGCCTCCCTGGGCTCAAGTGATCCTCCCACCTCAGCCTCCCAAGTAGCTGGGACTACAGGAACATGCCACCACACTAGGCTAATTCATGTATTTTTCTGTAGGGATGGTGACTCCCCCTTTGTTTCCAAGGCCTATCGCAAACTCTTGGCCTCAAGCCATCCTCCTGCCTCAGCCTCCCAAAGTGTTGCGATTACCAGTGTGAGCCACCACACCTGGCCAGCTGCTACTTTTATCAATATTATTCTTATTCCACTCAATTAAAAGTTATTATTTTCAAGGCTATGCAACAGTATGTATCCCACAGCATAATTGTAAAAACATATAGTCGTCGTCCCTCAGTATACAGAATTAGTTCCAGCCCCCCATCTCTGCATATACCAAAATCCATGCTTACTCACGTTTCGCTGTCACCCCTCTGGAATCCACGTATACGAAAATTCCAAATGTTAGTTGGGCATAGTGGCAAGCACCTGTAGTCTCAGCCACGTGGGAGGTTGAGGTGGGAGGATCGCTTCAGCCTGGAAGGTTGAGGCTGCAGTCAGCTGCGATAGCACTACTACACTCCAGCCTTGGACAACAGAGGGAGACCCTGTCTCAGAAAAAAAAACAAAATAAAACAGGTTAGAAATTGTAATGAGGTCTGCTGGGCAAAATTCCATATAAGCAAAGTATAAATTAATAAAGCAAATCGTGATAAATTAGTACGATTGACTTTCTGGAGTTTCTGACAATAAAAGTAAGGAAAATGCAGAACACAAAGACAGAGAGTAAAAAGAGAAATTAGGAAAGCATTCTACATGTTGAATAGGAAGACACTGGCCATGTTCGTGCAGCGGCAGTATGTCGTGACATGACATACCTTGGAGAGAAGTTAACAGATGAGGAAGTTGATAAAAATCATCAGAGAAGCAAAATACTGGTAGCGACACTCAAGTAAACCATGAAATTTCCATAACTTATGTCAGCAAAGTGGGAATATTGTACAGTGTGTGTTGAAGTTCCTATACAACATTGTTTATCTGCCTTTTGTTTGTTTGTAAGGAATGTACATACTAAAAGTTCTTCTTGCTGTCAAAAGAATATGTGTGAATAAGTCATTTTAACTTATTCTTCTGTTTTTCTTTTATCTTCCTGCCATCATCCCACAGCCTTACTTTAGACATTTTTTTTTTAGAAAATTGAACAAGTGCTCCTTGTGGTGGCACATGCCTCGAGGATGGGAGGCAGGGGTGGAAGGGTCACTTGAGGCCATTAGTTTGACACCAGCCTGGCCAACAAAGTGAGACCCCGTGTCTACAAAACAATTTAAAAATTAGCCAAGTATCATCATGTATACCTACAGTCCCAGCTACCTGAACTTACTGAGAAAGTTCAGAGCCTGGAGAGAAGGCTGGGAGGCAGGAGCTGGGTCTAAAGAGGCCATTGTAACGATGGAGCTGTGCCTGTGGAGGCTGTTGTGAGGCAGTAGGCTCATCTGCGGAGGCTGCCGTGACGTAGGGTATGGGCCTAAATAGGCCATTGTGAGTCATGAGCTTGGTCTGTAGAGGCTGACTGGAGAAAGTTCTGGGCCTGGAGAGGCTGCCGGGAGGTAGGAGCTGGGCCAAAAGATGTAAGCACATTTGCATTTATTAGGCACTTTATTTCCATTATTACACTGTGATATATAATAAAATAATTATAGAACTCACCATAATGTAGAATCAGTGGGCGTGTTAAGCTTGTTTTCCCGCAACTGGATGTTCCCACCTGAGCGTGATGGGAGAAAGTGACAGATCAATAGGTATTAGACTCTCATAAGGACAGCGCAACCTAGATCCCTCACATGCACGGTTCACAACAGGGTGCGTTCTCCTATGAGAATCTAACGCTGCTGCTCATCTGAGAAGGTGGAGCTCAGGTGGGAATGTGAGCAAAGGGGAGTGGCTGTAAATACAGACGAAGCTTCCCTCACTCCCTCACTCGACACCGCTCACCTCCTGCTGTGTGGCTCCTTGCGGCTCCATGGCTCAGGGGTTGGGGACCCCTGCTCAAGTGCATCCAAAACGACCCTTCCCACACCAGTCTTCACAGTGGTCAAGGGCAGCAACCACTTAGCTCCCAAGGCATGTGCCTCAGCTGGCATTTCGTCACAATCAACAGTAAGTGGTAGCTTGAGTCACTGTGAGGTCACCTACTGGAAATCACCAGCATCCCATTTCCCACTGGCAAAGAGCTCAGCACTGCCCCCTGGGAAACCAAACCTATGCCCAAATCCCATCTGTGTGGGTCTACCTCCTGGGACCCTTCCTAACATATAACCTTCATAACATACTTGAGAGGCTGAGGTGAGACAATCGATTTAGCCCAGGAGTTTGAGATCAGCCTGGACGACGTAACTAAATCTCATCTCTACAAGGACGAGGTGGGAGGATCACTTGAGCCCAGGAATTTGTGGCCAGCCTGGGCAACAAAAGAAGACCCCATCTGGCCAACATGGCCAACCTGGCCACCACGGTGAAACTCTGACTCTACAAAAATGATCTGGGCATGGGTGACATGCATGTGTAGTCCTAGCTACTTGGGAGGTTGAGATGGGAGGATTGCTTGATCTCAGAAGGCCAAAGCTATAGTGAGCTATGATCACATCACTGCACTCCAGCCTGGATGGCACAGGGAGATTCTGTCTCAAAAAAAAGAAAAGAAATATATATTTAATCTCTGTCCCTGGTTCCTGGCACAGAGCTTCTAAAGCTCTTACAAAGACCTCAGTGATAGATGTGACAGGAGCATCTTTTGTTTTAATATTTGATCTTGGTCCCAGGTTTCTAACACAAGAGCCTCTAAGAACTTTGGGATCTCCAGCATGGTAAGAATGCATTTGGGGATGTTGTTGAGATGACTGGGTGACTGCAAGCTCCTAAATTTCTTCAAGAGGAGGGCTGATTACCATGCAACCACATGGTAAGAGGCTTGGAACTTTCAGCCTCATGCACTGAACTCCAGGGGGAAGAGGGGCTGGAGACTGACTTAATCACCAACAGCCAAAGGTTTTATCAATCATGCTTGCATAATAAAGCCTCCATAAACACCCTGAAAGGGGTTTGCAGAGCTTTCAGGGTTGCTGGACACAGGAGATGCTGGGAGGGTCGCATGTTCAACAGAGGGCATGGGAGCTCTGTGCCCCTCCGAACTTAACTTGCCCTGGGTATCTTTCTTTTTTTTGAGACAGGATCAGGCTCTTTTGTCCAAGCTGGAGTGCAGTGGCACAATCTCAGCTTACTGTAACCTAAGCCTCCCCAGTCCCCAGCTCAAGGTATCCTCTCATCTCAGCTTCCCTAGTAGTTGGAACTCTAGGTGCACAACACCACACCAGTTATTATTATTATTTTTTAATTTTTTATAGAGACAGGTTTTCACCATGTTGCCCAGGCTGGTCTCAAACTCCTGAGTTTAAGCGATCCTCCCACCTTGGCCTCCCAAAGTGCTGAGATTACAGGCATGAGCCACTGCATCCAGCATGCACGTCTCTTTCATTGACTGTTTCTGAGATGTATCCTTCACAATGAACCAGTAATAGGAAATGAACTGGCCAGATGTGGTGGCTCACATCTGTAATCCCAGCACTTTCAGAGGCTGAGGTGGGAGGATCACTTGAGACCAGGAATTTGTGGCCAGCCTGGCCAACACAACAAGACCCCATCTATACAAAAAATAAAAGAAACTAGCCAGATGTGGTGGTGCAGGCATGTAGTCTCAGCTACTAGGGAGGCTGAGGTGGGAGAACCACTGGAACCCAGACAATCAAGGCTGCAATGAGCTATGACTGCACCATTGCACACCAGCCTGGGCAACAAAATAAGACCCTCTCTCTCAGAAAAAAAGAAAATAAACTGTTTTTCTGAGTTCCGTAAACTGTTCTAGCAAATTATTAAACCCAAGAAGACAGTTACGGGAACCCCCGATTGGTAACAGGTTGGTCAAAAGTATGGTGACAACTTAGGACTTGCCATTGTCATCTGAAGTGAGGATGGCCTCGTGGGACTGAGCCCCTAACTTGTGGGGTCTGTGCTAACTCCAGGTAGTGTCAGAATAAAGTCATGGGATACCCAGTTAATATCCAGAGCACTGAAGAATCTGGTGTAGAAACTCCATACATACATTCAGTCGGAAGTGTGTGAGTAGAGACAAACATGGGCTTTTCTGTCACCTACCTGCTTAACTGCATAGGAGAGGCAATATGTGGTGCTCATGAACAAAGCAAACATTAAAGTCAGACCAGACCCAACATTTGACTCAGTCTTAATATCCAGGTGAGCCTGCGCAAATCATTCATTATTCCTAAGGTTTTCATCACTCCATTCATAAAATGGGGATAACTGTGGCACCTATATGTGATTCTGTGAGAATTAACGAAATATTATGCTTGGGGTTATTGTGATCATTATACCTGTTCCAAACTATTTGACAAGGACAGTGATGGATGAAGACATCAAAAAATCAGAAACTGCAATGAGGTCTCTCAGGCAAAATTCCATACAAGCAAATTACTGTGTCTACAAAGCATTCCTGCCACACTTAATTCACCATTCCCTGAACAAAATATGCCATCTTCGTTGTTCAGGTCTGTACAGTGCTGGTTTCCCTTCCCGGGCAGTTTGCGCTATCCCATCCCGGCCCATTCCCCATCCCTCCACCTCCCCCTTCCCTCCCCACTCTCATACAACTCTTCCTCATCTTTCAGGACTTGGCTTCAATGTCACCTTAACTGGAAGCTTCTCTCACTCTCCAGAAGAGCTTCCCATTGCACCTGATGCATGGGAAACATAATTTGATCATTTTTAAGTTACAGTCCAAATCTTTTTGTACCTGAATAACATGTTGCCCAGTCAGTCTCTCTTCCTGGATTCACAAGTCTTTCATGGTAGATCCAGCTGGAAGTGACAAAAAGACATCTTTTGACATAAAGGGATGACACAGACAGACATAAGTTCTTAAATGTCTTAAATGTTATGTGAAAATTAAACAGAATTCAAAGACTTGTGGGGAGCACTTAGGAAGTTACTGGGAATGTCATAAAGGGTTAATTTGTATTTTATTTTATTTTTTGAGACAGTCTCATTCTGTCACCTAGGCTGGAGTGCAGTGGTGCAATCAGGCTCACTGCAGCCTTGACCACCTGGGCTCAAGTAATCTCACTTAATTTTTATTTGGTTTAAGAAAGTCTTGGTTGAGGGTGGTGGCTTATGCCTGTAATCTCAGCACTTTGGGAGGCTGAGAGAGGTATATTACTTGAGGCCAGGAGTTTGAGATCAGACTGGGCAATATATTAAGACCCTGCCTCTACCAAAAAACAGAGTGAATGTGTGGAAGACAATTTTTCCACAGACTGGGAATGAGGGAATAATTTCAGGATGATTCAAGTGCATTACATATATTGTGCACTTTATTTCTATTATTACTACATAGTAATATATAATGAAATGATTCTACAACTCACTATAACGTAGACTCAGTGGGATCTCTGAGCTTGTTTTCCTGCAACTAGACTGTCCACCTGGGGTGATGGGAGACAGTAACAGAATATCAGGCATTAGATTCTCATAAGGAGTACACAACCTAGATCCCTCGCATGCACACTTCACAACAGAGTTTGTGCTCCTATGACAATCTAATGCTGCTGCTGATCTGACAGGACATGGAGCTCAGGTGGTCATGCAAGCGATGGGAGGGGCTAGAAATACAGATGAAGTTTCCCTTCACTCGCCTGCTGCTCACCTCCAGCTCTGTGGCCCTGTGGTTGGAGACCGCTGCTCAAGTGCATTTGAAAGGAACCATCCCACGCCATTCTTCAGAGTCATCTTTACTGCTGCAGTGGTCAACTTGTAGCACCCCTAAGCTTGCAGGACATATGCTTCAACTGGCATTTCACAATCAACAGTATGTGGCAGCTTGAGTCATTGTGAGCTCACTTCCTAGAAATCACCAGCATCCCATATCCCATTGCAAGGAGCTCAGCACTGCTCCTTGGATAACCAAACCTATTCCCAAATCCCATCTGTGTGCGTCTATCTCCTGGTACCCTTCCTAGCATCAATTCTGTATTTGTAGGAGTCCAATCAGGAGACACAAACCACTCAAAAGTTTAAACTAGAATGAGCAAGATGGCTCACACCTGTAATCCCAGAACTCTGGGAGGCCAAGGTGGGTGGACTGCTTTGAGCTCAGGAGTTTGAGAACAGTCTGGGAAACATGGCGAAACCTCGTCTCTACAAAAAACACAAAAATCAGCTGGGTGTGGTGGCACTTACCTGTAATCCCAGCTACTCGGGAGGCTGAGGCAGGAGAATTGCTTGAGCCTGGCAGGTGGAGGCTGCAGTGAGCAGAGGTTGTGCCACTGTACTCCAGCCTGGGTGACAGTGTGAGACCCGGTATCAAAAAGAAAAAACGTGTATATATATATATATATATATATATATATATATAAATTTAATATAAAAAGTATTAATTTTGGCCAGGCAAAATGGCTCATGCCTGTAATCCCAGCACTTTGGGAGGCCAAGGCAGACAGATCACCTGAGGTCAGGAGTTCGAGACCAGCCTGACCAGCACAGAGAAACCCCATCTCTACTAAAAATACAAAATTAGCTGGGCATGGTGGCACATGCCTGTAATCCCAACTACTCGGGAGGCTGAGGCAGGAGAATTGCTTGAACCCAGAAGGTGGAGGTTGCGCTGAGCCGAGATAGCACCATTGCACTCCAGCCTGGGCAACAAGAGTGAAACTCCATCTCAAAAAAAAAAAAAAGGTATTAATTTTTACAGAGGATCAGCACAATGAGGGACACACTAGCACAAAGTAAAGACAACTCTAGAGAATACGGAACTAGCAGAGGCCAGGCATTGTGGCTCATGCCTGTAATCCCAGCAATTTGGGAAGCCTAGGCAGGAGGATCGCTTGAGGCCAGGAGTTGGAGACCAATCAGTGCTAAATAGTGAGACTCTGTGTCTACCAAAAAAAAGAGACATTAGCCAGGTGTGGTGGTGGTGCACACCCGTAGTTCCAGCTACTTGGGAGTCTGGGGTGGGAGAAATCCCTTGAGCCTGGGAAGTCTACACTACAGTGAGCCAAGATTGTGCCACTGCACTCCAGCCTGGGTGACAGAGTGAGACCCTGTCTTAGAAAGAAAAAAGAAAAGAAAGTGTTAATCCCCCTATGGGAATCTCCTCTTCTCCTGCCCTCTCTGGAACCTCACTTGTCAGTTCTTCCTCCCACTTTCCTGTATCTTTAACCTATCCCCCACTTTTAGCTCCTTCCCATCATCATTTAAATTACTCAAACTTCTTCTGTTTTAAAAACCTCTCCCTAAACTCAGGGAGAGGTCTTCTGCACACACATTGAGCCATCTGCTCTTCCTGGTGCCTTCTCTACAGCAGCCTGAGCCATGTCTCTAATCTATGAATCTCATCATGTTACTCCCCCATTTACATCACTTCTCCTTGCCTCAGGGATTAAGTCCAAACTCCTTAACAGCCCCTGCTCTGCCCTGCCTTGCAAGGCAGCCTCACTGCTTGCCCCTCTCCATTACATCTGCTATGGAGTCCAACTGAGCCTCATCTGCCCCTTGAATGCACACTCTTTCTCCTCTGGGAGTCTCTGAAGTGGGTAATATCCTCTGCTTATAATATGCTTCCCCTTAAACCTCTACTCTCTTCCTAGCTAGCTTTGACTCCTCTGTCACTTGTCCGCTTTGGCATCACCTCCTCATAGAAGACTTCTATGACTCCCGAGATTCTCAGGAGCATGGCAGGTGAAGTGCTCCTCCCATGAATGGATGGAGATTAAGGAGTGTGTGTTATTCATGCTTAATTCACCAGTGCTTAGCTGAGTACCTGGCATAAAATAGTTACTGTGGTGGCCAAAGTAATAACCCCCACCGCCACCAATTGCTCATGTCCTATGTTACACAGCACAATTACATAGGAAGGGGGAATTAAGAGTGCAGATAAAATTAATGTTGCTCATCAGCTGACCTTAAAACAAGATTATCCTGGAGTATCTAGGAGAGCCCATGTAATTACAAGCATTCTTTAAAACTGGAAGAGGGAGGCAGAAGGTTAAGAACCAGAGACGGTGGGCACAATGGCTCATGCCTGTAATACCAATACTTTGGGAGGCCAGGGTAGGAAAATCCCTTGAGTGCAGGAGTTCAAGGTCAGCCATGGCAACATACTGAGGTCCCATCTCTACAACAAAATAAAAACAAAATTCACTGAGTGTCACGATGCTTACCTGTAGTCCCAGCTACTGGGAAGGCTGACATGGTAGGATTGCTTGAGCCTGGGAGTTTGAGGCTATAATGAGCCATGATAGGACCACTGAACTCCATCCTGAGTGACAGGGCAAGGTCCTGTTTCTGAAGAAAAAAAGGACATTGGAATCAGGGCCCTCTCCATGCTGAGGTGCCTACAAGGCATCTCTCTCTGCAAACGAGTAAACATCACCCTCCAACTCCTTACAGAGTGGAGCAACAGGAAAACTCCTTCACCTCATTTCTGTGCTGCTTGGGAGGCCTGGACAGCCCAATAACCAGCTCCTCGCTGATGAAGCAATCAGGAAATGGCTCGAGTTGAGCTAAGGAGAATTTGGATCCTTCCTTTGGTTCTCAGTAGGCAGGGTAGGGGCCAGGCATGGTGGCTCATACCTGTAATCCTTGCACTGTGGGGGGCCAAGGTGAGAGGATTGCTTGAGGCCAGGAGCTCAAGACCAGCCTGGACAACATAGCAAGACCTGGGTGGCATACACCTGTGGTCCCTACTACTTGGTAGGATGAGGTGGGAGGATTGATCACTTGATCCCAGGAGTTTCAGGCTGCAGTGAGCCATGATCACACCACTGCACTTCAGCCTGGGTGACAGAGCCAGACCATGTCACAAAAAGTTAGAAAAAAAAAAAAAGAGAGGGAGAGAGACTATACACAGGCACCACCACATTTGGCTAATTTTTAAATATTCTGTAGAGACAAGGTCTTGCTAGGTTTCCCAGGCTAGTCTAAAACTCCTGGCATCAGGCTGGGCATGGTGGCTCATGCTTGCAATCGCAGCACTTTGGGAAGCTAAGGCAGGCAAATCACCTGAAGTCTGGAGTTCGAGACCAGCCTGGCCAACACGGTGAAACTCTGACTCTATCAAAAATACAAAAATTAGCTGGGCAGTAGTGGCGTGTACCTGTAGTCTCACCTACTCGGGAGGCTGAGGCAGGAGAATCACTTGAACCTGGGAGGTGGAGGTTGCAGTGGACCCCATCACTGCACTCCACCCTGGGTGACAGAGCGAGACTGTCAAAAACAACAACAACAATAACAAAAACAAAAACAACAACAACAAAAAAAACTCCTGGCATCAAGACATCTTCCTGTCTTAGCCTCCCAAAGCCCTGGGATTATACTGTTTCCTATAATTGAAGACACTTGTTCTTATACTGCTTTAAGGTATAAAGGAAGAAAAAAAAAACAGATAATGGCAAATGTTGGTGAAGGCCGGGCATGGTGGCAGCCTGTAATTCCAGAACTTAGGGAGGCTGAGGTGGGCAGATCACTTGAGGCCAGGAGTATGAGACCAGCCTGGGCAACATGGTAAAATCCCACCACTACAGAAAAATCTAAAAATTAGCCAGGCATGGTGGCGTACACCTGTAATTTTCAGCTACCCAGGAGGCTGAGATGAGAGAATCACTTGTGCCTGGGAGGTCACGGCTGCAGTGAACTGTGATGGCATCATTGCACTGCGGCCTGAGAGACAGAGCAAGCCCCTATCTAGAAAAAAAAAATGTCAGTGAAGATGTGGAGGAATTGGAACCCACAAACATTACTGGTGGGAACATAAAATTGTGTAACCATTTTGTTTGGGTATTTCTTTTCTTGTCATTTTAATTGGATTTTTAAAAAATCAAGACGGGGTTTCACTATCTTGCCCAGGCTGGTCTTGAATTCACGGGCTCAAGCCATCCTCCTAGCTGAGCCTCCTGAGTAGCTGGGATTACAGGTGTGAGCCATTGCACCCAACTGGTATAGCCACGTTAGAAAACAGTCTGGCAGTTTCTCAAAAGGCTAAATGTACAGTCATCCTATAATGCAACAATTTCACTCCTAGGCATATATCCCAGAAAAATAAAAATATATGTCCACACAAAAACTTGTACAACAATCTTCATAGCAGCATTATTCATAATGACCAATACATGGAATACATGGAAACAACCCAAATATCCACCAACTGATGAACAGATAAACAAAATGCAGTGTGTCTCTACCATGGAATACTGCCATAGAAGGAATGAAATATTGATACACACTATGACATAAAGGAACTTTGAAAACACTGTGCTAAGAGGGAAAAAAAGCCACAAAAGATCACATATTGTACAATTCTATTTGTCCAGATTAGGCAAATCTATAGTGACAAAAAATTAATCAATGGTTGCCTAAGGCTGGGGGCAAAGGTAGGTGGGGAGAGTAGGAGGTAGTAGCTAAGGGGTATGGATTTCTCTATAGGGTAATGAAAGGTTCTAAAAGTGACTGTGGTGATCGATGCACAGCTCTGTGAATATTCTAAAACCTACGGAATTGCAGATTTCAATAAATAAAGTGAATGGCATTTGAATATTTTAATAAAGCTATTATTTAAAATAATAATAATAGGGGGCTGGGCACAGGTGGTCATGCCTGCCTGTAATCCCAGCACTTTGGGAGGCTGAGGCAGGAGGATCACTTGAGGTCAGGAGTTTTGAGCCCAGTCGGAGCAACATGGCAAGATCCCGTCTCTATGATAAAAAATTAGCTGGACATGGTGGCACATGTCTGTAGTCCCAGCTACTTGGGAGACTGAAGTGAGAGAACCACTTGAGCCCAGGAGTTTGAGGCTACAGTGAACCATGATCATGTCACTGTACTGTAGCCTAAGCAACAGAGCAAGACGCTGTCTCTGAAAAGGAAAGAAAACAAATGCAAGTTTTTATCACTTTGTGAGTGTAGCCAAGTTGGAGGAGAAATAGACAATAATAAAAGAGCACTGAATAATGACGGTGAGTGGCTGGTTAGGCTCAGTTGCTAGCTAAATGGCTTCTAAAAAATTCAATAAAGTTACAGCTCTGGGGACAGTCATGTAGTCAAAGAATGAAGGCGAAATTCATTACAATTGCCCATGGTCTTTATTTACATGCCTTCTAGTGAAAAATTCCTAAGTGCCTAAACAGCAAGTCTGCAATGATAGCAGCTGTTTATTAAAGACTACAAAAAAGAAATGGAGGCCGGGCGTGGTTGTTCACATCTGTACTCCTTGAATTTTGGGAGGCTGAGGCAGGCAGATTGCCTGAGGTCAGGAGCTCCAGAGGAGCCTGGCCAACATGGTGAAATCCCATCTCTACTAAAAATACAAAAATTAGCTGGGTATGGTGGCGGGCACCTGTAATCCCAGCTACTCGGGAGGCTGAGGCAGGAGAATTGCTTGAACCCAGAAGGTGAAGGTTGCAGTGAGCCAAAATCGCACCATTGCACTCCAGCCTGGGTGACAAGAGAAAGACTCTTATCTTAAAAAAAAAAAGAAAAAAAAGAAATGGCATCTTCTTCAAGAATTACATCGTGTTTCATGATAAAGAAGCTCTAATTTTGCATTTGTTCAAGTATTGATGAGATTTACCCAATATGACACCCATCTTGGATAAAATGCAAACAACACAATTTCATTTTGTCATTAACAAAACCGATTAAGTAGTCTAATATAAATTGCGATCTTATTAAAAACTGATCAGATTAAAAAAATTATGGAATTATGGAGCCAATAAGATGTTACAACCTGTTCCAAGGGGAATTCCAAAATCCACACATATCTGAGACCATCAAGTATGATGAAATATATTTGATTACTATATTGAAAAATAAACTGATTACATAGCCAACAATTGGACAGGGGTCTCCTCATCCACAGCCACACAAACCCGATCATGCAGCTATGTGGTTACAAGGCCTACATAGCCTAGAAGGGACTGGTCTGACTTGAGATTTCATTTGTATTTGTATTTTGAGACAGGGTCCCACTCTGTCACCCAGGATGGAGTGCAGTGGTATAATCATAGCTCACTGCAACCTTGACCAACTGGGCTCAAGAGATGCTCCTGCCTCAGCTGCCCCCATACCTGGGAATACAGGCAAGTACCACCATGTCAGGCATTTTTTTCATTTTTGTAGAGAGAGAAGACTTGCTATGTTGCCCAAGCTGGCCTCAAACTCCTAGAATCAAGAGATCTGCCCATCTCAGCCACATGAGTAACTGGGGCCATAGGTACATACCATCATGCCTGGCTATATTTATTTTATTTTATTAAATTTATTTTTTTTATTTTTGTAGAGAGGAGGTCTTGCTGTGTTGCCCAGGCTGCTCTCAAACTCATGGCCTTAAAACATACTCCCATCTCTGCCTCTCAAACTGTTGGAACTATAGGTGTGAGCCACTGTACCTGGCCTGACTTGGGATTTCTTTTATCTAGCATCCTTTACTTGGTAGGATTGGGAAAAGCAGTAGTGTTTTTTAAAATTACTTAATAATTCAATCAGAATCAAACTCAACCTTGACCACTGCCTTCTCTCACAGCTCACATCCAGTCTGTCAGGAAATCCTACTGACTGACTTCAATATGTATCCAGGCTCTAACCATCTCTCACCACCACCATGAACCCCGTCAGGATCACTATCATCTCCCACTGGGATGTTGCCACAGCTTGGCCCCCATGCTTCTACCCAAATCTTCCCATAGTCTTTCTCAACTCGGCAGCCAGGTCGTGCTTTTAAATCAGGAGACGGATCATGTCGCCTCTCTGCTCAGAAGCCCTTGGTGGTTCCCATTTTAGTCAGAGTAAAAGCCAAAGCCCCAGCAATAGCGTCCCAGGGCTTACACGATCTGTACCGATCCCAGCCCAGCAACTCCCTGGCCTCCTCGCTGACTTCGCTCCCTCTATCTCTTTGCTCCACTGGCCTCCTTCCAGAGCCTCAGACACACCAGAGAGTTTCCTCCTAATGCCTTTATCCTGTTGACTCAGCCTACAATGCTCTTCCCTCAGCACCTTGGCCAGCTCCATCACCTGCTTCAAACTTTTGCTCAATATTCACTTATGAGGCCAACCCTGACCACTCTACTTAACACTGCCATCTGTCCCCATTCCCACCATGCTCATTTCTTTCTTTTTGAAACAAGGTCTTGCTTTATTGCCCAGGCTGGAGTACACTGGTGCAATCACAGCTCACAGCAACTTCAACCTCCCAGGCTTAAACAATCCTCCCGCCTCAGCCACCCTAGGAACTGAGACTACAGCTGCATGCCACAACACATGGCTTTTTTTTTTTTTTTTGAGACGGAGTCTCGGTCGCCCAGGCTGAAGTGTAAGGGTGCGATCTTGGCTCACTGCAATGTCTGCCTTTTGGGTTCAAGTGATTCTCTGCCTCCCAAGTAGCTGGGATTACAGGCACCCACCACCACACCTGGCTAATGTTTGTATTTTTAGTAGAGATGGGGTTTCACCATCTTGGCTAGGCTGGTCTTGAACTTCTGACCTCGTGATCCACCCTCCTCGGCCTCCCAAAGTGCTGGGATTACAGGCGTGAGCCACTGCGCCTGGCCTTTAAAAACATTTTTTTTTAGACATGAGGTCTCATTATGTTGCCCAGGCTGGTCTTAAGCTCCTGGGCTTAAGCGATCCTCCCACCTCAGCCTCCTAAAGTTCTGGGATTACAGGCGTGAGCAACTGTAACATGAGGTCCCAGCTTCATGTTCATTTTTTGTTGTTGCTACAACAAAGTACCCTACATTTAGTGGCATCAAACACCACAAATCTACCATCTTACAGTTCTGGGGGCCAGAAGCCCAACTAGGTCTATCAAGGCTAAAGTCAAGGTGTCAGAGAGGCTGCATTCCTTCTGGGGGAGGCTCTAGACAGAATGTGCTCCTTTGCCTTTTCCAGCTTCTAGAAGCCACCTCCATTCCTTGACTTACCTCGTGACTCCATATTCAAGGCCAGAAGTGCAGCATCTTCAAATCTCCCTCTCTGACCTCTTCTTCCATTACCACATCACTTTCTCTAATTCTGACTCTCCTACCTCATTCTCTTATAAAGATCCTTGTGATTGGTGGGTATGGGGGCTCCCATCTGTAATCCCAACATTTTGGGAGGCCAAAGAGGAAGGATTGCTTGAGGCCAAGAGTTAGAGATCAGCCTGGGGAAAATAGGAAGATCCTGCCTTTACAAAATTAAAATCAGCTGGACATGGTGATGCATGCCTGTAGTTCCAGCTACTGGAGAGGCTAAGGTGGGAGGATTGCTTTAGCCTAGGAGGTCAAGGCTGCAGTGAGCTATGATCACATCACTGCACTCCAGCCTCAGTGGCAGAGTGAGACTCTGTCTCCGATATAAGAAAAGAAATATACATTTGGTCTCTGCCCGTGGTTCCTGGCATAGAGCTTCCAAAGCTCTTATAAAGCCCTTCGTGACAGAGGTAATAGGAGCATTTTCTGTTTTGATATTTAGTCTTAGTCCCAGGTTCCTGACACAAGGGCCTCTAAGGTCTTTCAGATCTGCAGCATGGTAAGAATGCATGTGGGATGCTGTTGAGCTAACAGGGTGGCTGCAAGCTCCGAGACTGCTTCAGGAGGAGGGCTAGCTGCCAGAGAAAGCAACCACATTTTTTTTTTTTAAACGGAGTTTGGCTCTTGTAGCCCAGGCTGGAGTGCAATGGCACAATCTCAGCTCACTACAACCTCCACCTCCCGGGTTCACGCAATTCTCCTGCCTCGGCCTCCCGAGTAGCTGGAATTATAGGGATGTGCCACAACGCCTAGCTAACTGTTGTTATTTTTAGTAGAAACGGGGTTTCACCATGTTGGTCAGGCTAGTCTCAAACTCTTGACCTCAAGTGGTCCATGTGCCTCAGCCTTCCAAACTGCTAGGACTACAGGAGTGAGCCACCGCACCTGGCCCCAACCACATTTTTTGAGGCTTGGAACTTTCAGCCTCACCTGCTGAACTCCAGGAGGCAAAAGGAACTGGAGATTGACTTAACTACCAATGGCCAGTGATTTTATCAATCATGCCTCCATAAACACCCAAACAGCAGGGTTTGGAGAGCTTCTGTGTTGCTAAACACAAGGAGGTCCTGGGAGGGTAGTGTGCCCAACAGAGGGCATGGAAGCTCTGTGCCCCTCCCCACTTACCTTGTCCTGTGCATCTCTTTCATTGGCTGTTCCTGAGATGGAGCCATTACATTGAGCCAGTAATAGAAAATAAGGTGGCCAGATGCACTGGCTCATGCCCGTAATCCCAGCACTTTGGGAGGCAGAGGTGGGCGGAATCACTTGAGCCTAGGAATTTGAGACCAACCTGAGCAACATAAGAAGACCCCATCTATACAAAAAATAAAAGAAATTAGCCAAATGTGGTGGTGGGAACCCTGTAATTCCAGCTACTTGAGAGGCTGAAGCAGGAGAATCACTTGAGCCCTGGACGTTGAGGCTTCAATAAGCTATGATTGCACCACTGCACACCAGCTTGGACAACAGAGCGAGGCCCTGTCTCTTAAAAAGAAAAGAAAAAAAACTTGTTTTTCTAAGTTCTGTGAGTTGTTCTAGTAAATAATTAAACTCAACAAGAGGGTCATGGGAAACCCTGATTTCTAACTGGTTGGTCAAAATACAGGTGACAACCTAGGACTTGCAACTGGCATCTGAAGTGAGGGTGGTCTTGTGGGACTGAGCCCCTAACCTGTGGGTTCTGTGCTAACTCTAGGTAGTGTCAGAATGGAATTGTGGGATACGCGGTTGGTATCCAGAGAGTTGGAGAACTGGTGTAGAAACTCTGCACACACATTTGGTCAGAAGTCTGTGAGTAGAGAGAAACGTGTTGCAGGAAGTCAGGGACCCCAAACGGAGGGACTGGCTGAAGCCACAGCAGAAGAACATAAATTGTGAAGATTTCATGGACATTTATTAGTTCCCCAAATTAATACTTCTATAATTTCTTAGGCCTGTCATTACTGCAATCTCTGAACATAAATTGTGAAGATTTCATGGACACTTATCACTTCCCCAATCAATACCCTTGTGATTTTCTATGCCTGTCTTTAATCTCTTAATCCGGTCATCTTCGTAAGCTGAGGATGAATGTCCCCGCAGGACCCTGTGATAATTGCGTTAACTGCACAAGTTGTTTAAACAATATGAAACCTGGGCACCTTGAAAAAAGAACAGGATAACAGCAATTTCAGGGAACAAGGGAGATAACCTTAAACTCTGGCTGCCTGTGGGCCGGGTTGAACAGAGCCATATTTCTCTTCTTTCAAAAGCAAATAGGAGAAGTATTGCTGAATTCTTTTTCTCAGCAAAGAACATCCCTGAGAAAGAGAATGCATCCCTAAGGGGAGGCCTCTGAAATGGCCGCTTTGGGGACGGCTGTCTTTTACAGTCGTAGATAAGGGATGAAATAAGCCCTGGGTTCACGTGGCGCTCCCAGGCTTATCAGGACAAGGAAATTCCCGCCTAATAAATGTTGGTCAGATGGGTTGTCTGCTCTCAAACCCTTTCTCCTGATAAGATGTTATCAATGACAATGCGCGCCCGAAACTTCATTAGCAATTTTAATTTCGCCCCGGTCCTGTGGTCCTGTGATCTTGCCCTGCCTCCATTTGCCTTGTGATATTTTATTACCTTGTGAAGCATGTGATCTCTGTGACCCACACCCTATTCGTACACTCCCTCACCTTTTGAAAATCACTAATAAAAACTTGTTGGTTTTGCGGCTTGGGGGGCATCACGGAACCTGCCGACGTGTGATGTCTCCCCTGGACATCCAGCTTTAAAATTTCTCTCTTTTGTACTCTTTCCCTTTATTTCTCAGACTGGCTGACACTCAGGGAAAATAGAAAAGAACCTACATGAAATATCAGGGGTAAATTTCCCCCGATATCACACTGGCTCTTCTCTCACCTGTCTACCTGCTTAACTTAATAGGAGAGGCAATGCATGGTGCTCATGAACAAGGCAAGCATTAAAGTCAGACCAGACTAACATTTGACTCAGTCCTAATATTCAGGTGAGCTTGGGCAAATCACTCATTAACCCCAAGTCTTCATCATTTTGTGCATATAATGGGGATAACTGTGGCACCCACCTGTTTTTGTGAGAATCAATGAAATATTATGCTTGATGTTATTGTGATCATGATACTATCTGACAAGGGCAGTGATGCATGATAACATCAAAAAATTAGAAACTGTAATGAGGTCTCTTGGGCAAAATTCCATACAAGCAAATTACTGTCTCTACAAAGCATTTCTGCCACACTTAATTCACCATTCCCTGAACAAAATGTGCCATCTTCATTGTTCAGGTCTGTATAGTGCTGGTTTCCCTGCCTGGGCAGGTCACTCCATCCCATCCCAGCCCAATCCCCATCCCTCCACCTCCCCCTTCCCTCCCCACTCTCATACAACTCTTCCTTATCTTACAGGACTTGGCTTCAATGTCACCTTAACTGGAAGCTTCTCTCCCTCTCCAGAAGAGCTTCCGATTGCACTTGATGCATGCACTATTATTTGATCATTTTTGAGTTACAGTCCAAGTCTTTTTGTACCTGAATAACATGTTGCCCAGTCAGTTTCTCTTCTTGGATTCAGAAGTCTTTCATGGTAGGTCCAGCTAGAAGTGACAAAAAGACATTTAAAAAAAAAAAAAAAGAGGGATGACACAGACAGACATCAGCACTTAAAAGTTTTAAACGATATGTGAAAAACAAAATTTAAGGGCTTCTAGGAGAAATGTAGGAGGGAAGGTGTTACTGGGAAATATGATAGAAGGTTAATTTTTATTTTATTTTATTTTTAGAGAAAGGGTCTTGCTCTATCACCTAGGCTGGACTGCAGTGGTGCAATCACAGTTAACTGCAGCCTCAACCTCCAGGGCTTGAGCAATATTCCCATCTAATTTTTATTTTGTTTAAGAAATGCAGTCTTGCTCTTAGCAAAGCTAAAGTGCAATGGTGTGATCATAGCTTACTGCAGCCTCAACCTTCTAGACTCAAGTGATCCTCCAGTCTTAGCCTCCCCAGTAGCTCGGACTACAGGTGTGCACTGCAACGTGTAGCTCATTTTTTTTTTTTAATTTTTAGTAGAGACAAAGTGTCACTATGTTGACCAGGTTGGTGGTGATCTCCTACACTCAGGCAGTTCTCTCACCTCAGCCTTCCAAAATGCTGGGATTACAGGTGTGAGCTGCCACACCTGGCTGAGGGGGTTAATTTTTAATTATATAAAGAGCTCAAAGCAAATATTAGAAGGAGCCTAAATGCCTCCAGCAGTTGACTGGTACTGGTAAATTGTGATACATCCATATAATAAAATATTATGCAACCATGAAAAGGATTAAGATAGATCAATAGGTATTGGCACAAATGTCCACGAAATATGAAAATATGAAGTGATGTTCAATCACCATGTACGTATCTTGAAGGATATGGCCCATTTTCTCAACTGCAATTATTTCCTGAGATAAGATTATGGGTCTAAAGAGTGAAGGACATTTTTCACTTATTTAAAAGTATTTATCATTTTTATAATTTAATAAAAGATTAAACAGATCATTGAATTAGTAAAAGACAAAGTAACTCTATAAATAAATGGAAAAGACACAGATACCCCAGGCATGGTGGCTCATGCTTATAATACCAGTACTTTGGGAGGGGGTGGTGGGGGGATTGCTTGAGGCCAGGAGTTCCAGACCAGCCTAAGAAACAAAGCAAGACCTCCTCTCTAGTAAAAATAAAAAAATAAAAATAATTGGCCAGGCATAGTGGCATGTGCCTATAGTCCCAACTACTGAGGTGGAAGGATCACCTGAGCCTAGGAGGTCAAGGCTGCAGTGAGTTGAGACTGTGCCACTACACTGAAGCCTAGGAGACAGAGCGAGACTTCATCTCAAAAAAAAAAAAAAGGACAATAAAGAAATAAAGCTAATAAGCTAACATAAGGAAAGATAAAATATGTGACAAATAGGCTGGGCACATGGCTCACAGCTGTAATCAAGCACTTTGGGAGGCCAAGGCGGGTAGATCTTGAGATCAGGAGTTCGAGACCAGCCTGATCAACATGGTGAAACCACGTTTCTACTAAAAATACAAAAATTAACCAGGCATGGTGGCATATGCCTGTAATCCCAGCTAATAGGAGGTCTTTCATTTATCACACAGAAAATAACTTGTTAAATTATAATACCTGTGTGGGCGAAGGTGCAGTGAAATGGCCATTTTCTTGTAGTATTAGTGGTGTTTAAAATGTATATAAGCCTTCCAGCATAAAGCTTGGAAATTTTTTTTAAATCATACAGACAGTGACTCATTATACTGCCTCCTCCAACTCCTGGCCTCAAGCAATCCTCCCACCTCAGCCTCCCAAAGTGCTGGAATTACAGGCTGACAGCCACCATGCCTGAAAGCTTTGCAATTTACATTGAGGGTAATAAGAATGCTCATGCCCTGTGACTCACAGTAATCTCACTTCTGGAAATTTCACCTTTGGATATAATTCAACCTAAACAAAAGGTCATATGCACAAACACCGTGAAAATCTGGGAGTAATTTTTTTCTCTTTTTTTAAAAAAATATGGAATGCTTCACAAATTTGCATGTCATTCTTTCACAGAGGCCGTGCCAATCTCTCTATTGTTCCAACTTAAGTATGTGTGCTACTGAGGCAAGCATGAGTAATTTAAGATAGGGTGGTTAAGTGAAATAAGGAAGAATTATGGAGAATTTAAAAATCTATGCTATTTATAGGCACCTAGTAACAGCTCAGTAAATATTAGCTGCTACTATTATTTTTTTTATGGTAATTTCACTCAATTAAAAACTGTCGTTAAAAATTGCCATTGTCATGGAACATAATGTCTCCTACTGTATAATTGTAGAAACAGATACAATTTGTCCCTTGGTATATGGGGGGATTAGTTCCAGCTCTCCCATTTCTGTGTATACCAAAATCCACGCATACTCAAGTTTTCAAAGTCAGTCCTGTGGAATCCACATATAACACAAATGGGAAAATTAGTGAGGTGTGGTGACAAGCACCTGTAGTCCCAGCTACTTGTGAGGCTGAGGCAGGAGGATTGCTTGAGCCCAGGAGGTTGAGGCTGCAGTGAGCCATAATTGCACCACTACACTCCAGTCTGGGCAACAGAGTGAGACAGAAGGTTGACTTTTTAATAGAATTTTTCTGTTCACTTGAAGATATGGTCAGGATTGTGGCATATGAAAATTCTTCATAAAATAACTATCTAATCCAATTAATGCTGGAATTGGGAACAGCAGAAGTGTCATCTCAGAGCTACTCGCAATGAAAGGTGATGTCTGGGGCTCAGGTGTGTTGAGGTCCCCATGCCTGGACTATGGGTGCTGAGTGGGATTTACTTGTCCATCCATTTTCTATATTCCAGCACTGGGAAACTAGGGACAGTACTTGTTCTCAAGGGAATCTTCAGCTTAGGTGGCTCTGTAAAAGAGAAATTACATCATTGAAAAATCGTCGCAGGTCAGGTGAGGTGGCTCATACCTATAATCCCAGCCCACTGGGAGACTAAGGCAGGAGGATTCCGTGAGGCCAGGAGTTCAAGACCAGCCTGAGCAACACAGTGAAACCTCATCTCTACAAAAAATTAGAAAATGAACTGGGTGCGGTAAAACATTCGTATAGTCCCAGCTACTCTGGAGGCTGAAATAGGAGGATCGCTTGAGCCCAGGAAGTGGAAGCTGCAGTGAGCTCTGATCTCACCACTGCACTCTAGCCTTGGTGACAGAGTGAGACCCAGTCTCAAGACACACACAAACACACACACACACACACACACACACACACCCAATCTCACTCTGTCCAGCCTTGACTAATCAAAAGGGCCTTCTGGTTACAGAAGAGGTATGCTCTTTTGTAGGACAGGGAGAGACCAGCAAGCTTGTTCACAGACTTTTCCTCATCCTCTGCTTAGTTTTCCAAGAACCCTCACAGTGGAAATGGAGTCTCTGGGAAAATGACCTAAATCTTTGGGTTACCAGGGGAGAAATATGCCTCCTTTGTCAATTAATAAATGGAACATCTGCCTTAAAATCCAGGGAGTTCTGCTAGAATGAATCACTCCCTAAGACCCTGACCAATGCATGGAACATGAAAAACTGAAGTTTAACTGGGCGCGGTGGATCACGCCTGTAATCCCAGCACTTTGGGAGGCTGAGGCGGGCGGATCACCTGAGGTCAAAAGTTCTAGATCAGCCTGGCCAACATGGTGAAACCCCGTCTCTACTAAAAATACAAAAATTAGTTGGGCATGGTGGTGGACACCTGTAATCCCAGCTACTTGGGAGGCTGAGGCAGGAAAATCGCTTGAACCCGGAAGGCGGAGGTTGCAGTTACTTCTAGAAGAATTTCCATTAGCCCTTTGAAATCCTTCAACATTCATGAAGGCCAAAGAGTTTTCACCTAATTTAATCTGATGGGTATGTGACCAGAGTCTTTCTAGGGAATAGAGACTCCCAAACAGTTCGACTGGGAAGTGAGGAGAGAATTTATTACTCAAAACCAAAGGGAAATGAAAAGAGGCCAACATAGAATGTCATTATTCTTTCTTGGCGGGGAATGGATTCCAGAGTCATTCTGTGACCTTTACATGACCTCCTTATTAGCATCTAAAAGCTTCCAGTGTAGGATGCAGCCAGCTAGGTTCTCTTCTAATGTAATAAAATTTGCTTCGGCAAATCTTATGCAGAGCCATCTCCAGGCTCCAGAAACAATAGGCTATAAATTACTGGATCTCCCATTTGATACAATGAAGTATGAGCATGGTCCTGAATGACTCCTCTACATACTACTCTGGGTGGCTTGAAGTGAATTTGATACAAGAACTGGAGCGAGGGCAAAGCAGAGCTAGATCTAGGATTAATGTGCTTGGGCCCAGCTCCTCACTACTCACCTATGAGTCTAGTTCCAGAACCCAAGTAGAGGATGGGGAAACAAGGCTCCTGACTTTTTTTCCCTAATGTCTGCATCTCTTTCACATTTCTTATCTCCTTGCAAAGAAACTAAACAGGCTCAACTGAAATAACTAAATGATTAAACCCTATACAGAGAATCTCCAAAGACTGACAAAATATCATTCAAGACTGTTACACAGACAACCTTGAGGATGACTTGATGTACCAGTGATCTACAATATTTGGGATCATTCCAAATTCCCATCAAGGATCTGCCTATATCAACAAAGGAGCCAAGGACCAACCATTCAAATGGGCCCTGCTGCCAAGCCTTTTTTTTTTTTTTTTAACAATGCCATCTCTTCATATTGTTCCATTTAACAAAACTGCAGCCCTTCATCTATCCTTAAGTCCCTTGGCCAGTGGTACAGAGCCAGAGTATGCTACTCCCTAGCAGGAAATCAACAGGATGACCTACTAAACACCATTCAGAAGATGCTAAGACCCATGAATTGCAACAGGAAAGAAAAGACAGAGAATTAGTCAGACAGGTACATGCTGTGCCAAAAGTGCACTACAGCCCCCACCCAATTCTGCCTAATCCTAGCTGGGCTGACACCAACCTGATGAGACAGGCCTATAAGATCTCAAACTAAAACAGAAACTCCTGAACTGGGTTCTTTCGAGCCCAGGAAGCAGCAGTAAATCATTAAAGAACAGATAAGTTCTTAAGGTGAGGGAGAGTTTCAGATAAATGGAATGCTGGTAGAACACAGGGCCCAAAGGAGCAAAAGTTAACCTAAGCCCAGGTAGAACCTTGTTTACTAGAGTATTAGGCATGGGTTTGGGCAACTATTCTAACCAGAGAAACTGGCTTCAGTGAGGGCAAGTTGGCAATCCAAGGTATAGCATGCATAGGGCTGGCAAAATTCAGGGTGACTGAAGCAAAAGCTTCATAACCAGAAAGACCACATCTGGGGGTAGAGCACAAAACTCTCAAGAGATGAATCTTTGTAAGAGTGAGGCAGAACTATATAGCAGTTTTAGGAGATCTGTTGGTGCCCAGCAAGAGCTCCAAACGGGCTATATGCAGGGATGCAGGCTGTAGTCTCAGGAGAGGAGGTTCACAAAAGTCATTCAGTCCAAGACCTCAAACTGTGTTCTCTACTAAAAGGAATCAAGGTTCCCTAGAGAAATGGCTGACTCCATGTATGGTGCAGTATATTGATCCTGGAACATCTGTTTTGCCAGAAAGCAAGGAAGCCATCAAAGTCCAACAGGATCACTTCAAAAAGACATGAAAGTCAACTTGAAGAGATAATTATTAACCTAGATGAGACAATGTAAGCATCCAAAACAATAAAGACTGCAATGGCCTGAAATACATCAAATGCAAACAATAATCTATGAGTTCATAATGGTATTCAGAAAAAAAAACTACTGGTCATTAGAGGGAAGGTTACTAGGTCACTAACTTACTACTCTGAAAAGTGACTTAAGATGAGAGGTAGGGTGGAAAATTAGCTATTTATTCAGTCTTTCCTGTACAAACATAAATTTTTAGGGAGATTGAAGCAGATGAAACAAATCTGGAAAAATGGAGGTAACTGCTTAATCTGCGGGTTGGGTGCATGGAGGTTCAACATATTTCTTTTGTGTATATTTGAACCCCCTACAAAAAAAGCACAAGAGAGAATGTGAGCCAAGCAGCTTAGGGTTTAGGCAAGGCTTCTGCCTACAAGAGACACTAGGATATGAGGGGTAGTTTTAGCCCTAATGGGCTGAGCCAACTGGAGGTATATAGGGAAGTGCTAAATTGCAGAGGTATCATGTTGCCCAGCACTTGATCAAATCCTAGATCCTAGGTCTGCTTGGTAGCATGCTTCCTAGGTAGTGGATCTGAGGCTACCTATAGAACTTCCTTTGCAGTCATAGTTCGCTCAGAAACTACAAAAGTGCTTGCTCTTGAAAATGGAGTCTTTGTCCATTTCATGCTTCTATAAAAGAATACCACAGACTGCATAATTTATAAAAAGGAAAAAAGGAAGGAAAGAAAAAAGGAAGGGAGGAGGGAAGGAGGGAAAAAGGGAAGGAGGGAAGGAAAGGAAGGAAGGGAAAGAAGGAAAGGAAGGAAGGGAAAGAGAGAAAGAGGGAAGGAGGAAGGGAGGGAAGGAGGGAGGGAGGGAGAGAGAGAGGGAGGGAGGGGAAGGGAAGAAAAGGGAAGAGAAGGGAAAGGAGGAAGAAAAGGAAAGGAAAGGAATAAATTTTATTTCTTAACAGTTCTGGATGTTAGGAAGTCCAAGGTTGAGGGGCCTGCATCTGGTAAAGGTCTTCTTGCTGCATCATCCCACTACAGAAGGCAGAAGGAAAAGAGAGTGCAAGAAAGCAAGAGGGCAAAAGGGGCTGAACTCTGTTTTATAATAAGCCCACTCTGTGATTACTAATCTATTACCACAATAACAACATTAACTCATTCATGAAGGCTATTTTATTAGGCCCCACATCCCAACTGTTGCATTGAGGATTGAGTTTCCAGCACATAAACTTTGGGGGACACATTTAAACCATAGCAGAGCACTTAGGTTAATTCAACTAAGAGGAGCTGGGAAAATCAAAGGCATGAGAAAGACAGCAAAAGCTAGCAGAGAGAAATGCATAGGTTAAGGAAAAAAGTCACAGTGAATCCTGTAGTGCAGGCTACTTTATGAAAAGCACCTAAAAAAGATCTCATTAACTCCCCCAGCTCACCTCCACGCACATCTAAAGAGCCACACACAGCACCACCAAAGGCAGCACAATGAGAACAGCATTCTCCTCAACAGACAAGCTGGGAGTATCTAGACACCCGACCTCAATAGCTCCAGAACAGCCCTAAAACATTTCCTCCCTAACCACCACTCAAGTCACCAGCTTGGAAAGTATTAAGAAAACCCAAATCCTGACACACCACTATGAAACAACTTAAAACAGCAAAGAACAACCCATTTAAACAGCAATGCCAGCTGTTGGGAAAAAAAGGAACAATGAGTAGAGGAGAAACAGACCTCTCGGGGTCCACCAAGACCCAGTCTCTCAGCTTCAGCACTTTTAAATGCAGAATCCATACCCCTCTGGGGCCTGTGGAGCTCCACAAGGCATGTCGTCCTCAAAGATAAATGAGCAGGCAAGCTGGCTAGAAAACCACTAAGGGTATTTATTCTTTAAAGAATCTTTACAGGGTCAAAGAAGAATGGGTCTTAACTGGCTATGTGAACTCCCCACAGATTCTGAGGATGATGTCAGTATCCCTTTCCAGATGTGTTTAACACTTTGCAGTCACTTGTATTCCTGCTACTGAGTGCCAGTGCTTTGCTAATTTGAACTGATTCCAGCTCACGCTGACCCCAGCTCCCTGGATGTTACCATTAGCCAAGACTGTCACCCATACTGTACCCTTTCAAAGAGTCCTAAAAACAGCTCTTCACCTACTCTTCCAAGACAAGTAAAAATGTCTGCCAAAGAAATGGGGAAAAAAGATTCAGAGAGTGAAAACAATTAATATACTAACAAGAGAGCAAAAAGCAAAGGGGGAGGAGAAACTAGGAAAATCATATATGGGCTCTCACCTATTTCCAAAGCTGGGCTAATGTCCTTTTGCTTGTGTCTGAATAAGGCACCAATTTTAAGCTGCTAATGAAAAAAAAAGAAAAAGAGAAAGAAGCAGGCCCAGGCTGGGCGCAGTGGCTCATGCCTGTAATCCCAGCACTTTGGGAGGCCGAGGCGGGTGGATCACCCAAGGTCAGGAGTTCTAGACCAGCCTGGTCAACATGGTGAAACACCATCTCTACTAAAAATACAAAAAATTAGCCAGGCATGGTGGCGCATGCCTGTAAATCCAGCTACTAAGGAGGCTGAGGCAGGAGAATTGCTTGAACCTGGAAGGCAGAGAATGTGGTGACCTGAGATCACGTCATTGCCCTCAAGCCACGGCAATGAGAACAAAATTCGGTAAAAACAAAACAAAACAAAACAAAATCACCATAAAATAACTCAGACTTAATTAAATACAACCCTAGTGGTGAATGACTAAAGATGGATTACTCATAACAGAGACAACAGTCCAATAA
Organism: Homo sapiens; assembly: GCF_000001405.40. Classification (NCBI taxonomy): domain Eukaryota; kingdom Metazoa; phylum Chordata; class Mammalia; order Primates; family Hominidae; genus Homo; species Homo sapiens. The sequence continues at coordinate 522,842 of NC_000001.11, forward strand.
GAATCCAGGAATCTTACCTTTTAATAACAAAAAAATCCTTTCCTTCTAAAGTAACATCCTCTCAAGGCCAGGAATTCCATTAGTAGAAAGCCTTCCTAAAAAACAAAATTCCTGGCCAGGCATGGGTTCACGTCTGTAATCTCAGCACTCTGGGAGGCCGAGGCGGGAAGATCACTTGATATCAGGAGTCGAGGCGGGAAGATCACTTGACGTCAGGAGTTCGAGACTGGCCCGGCCAACATGGTGAAACCGCATCTCCACTAAAAATACAAAAATTAGCCTGGTATGGTGGTGGGCACCTGTAATCCCAGTGACTTGGGAGGCTAAGGCAGGAGAATTTCTTGAACCCAGGAGGCAGAGGTTGCAGTGACCAGCAAGGTTGCGCCATTGCACCCCAGCCTGGGCGATAAGAGTGAAAACTCCATCTCAAAAAAAAAAAAAAAAAAAAAATTCCTTTGGGAAGGCCTTCTACATAAAAATCTTCAACATGAGACTGGAAAAAAGGGTATGGGATCATCACCGGACCTTTGGCTTTTACAGCTCGAGCTATAAGAAAAAAAAGAAAAAGGGATATCATTTAAACACAGTATGTAGAAAAGAATAATTATTGAATCTGTACTGGTCTTTAACTTTTACACTTTGATCTTTAATTCTGTTATTGTGATTGAGTCCAAAGAAAAACAGTATGAGTAAAATAAAAAGAACACCAAAAATGCTAATATTCTGTTTACCGAAGTCTGTAGTGAAATATCCCATTAAATCCAAGTGCAGTGACACACCCATAATCCCAAGCACTTTGGGAGGCTGAGGCGGGTGAATCTCCTGAAGTCAGGAGTTCAAGGCCAGCCTGGCCAACATGGTGAAACCCCAACTCTACTACAAATACAAAAATTAGGCAGGCGTGGTGGCAGAGGCCTGTAATCCCAGCTACTTAGGAGGCTGAGGCAGGGAGAATTGCTTGAACACAGGAGGTGAGCTTGCCATGAGCTGAGATCATACCACTGCACTCCAGCGTGCGTGACAGAACAAAACTTCAACCTCCAAAAAAAAAAAAAAAAAAAAAAACAGCTAGCAGGTGACATTTGCTATAGGGAGACTAGGGATATGATCTTGCTGCAATCTTTCCATTTTAGTAAATCTAAACAAGTGTGAATCCATTCTGTTTCGTCCCCACTCCACTCCAGAGCCAAAACAAGAAAAACAATTATATTTCTAGTTCTTTAAAAACATATCTAACTAAATCATCTAATTAAAAGATAATATGCATGGTTCCATACTCTAAAAGAAAACTTATGTCCTGCATATCATGGACATTTGATGAATGCTTATTCAGTTGACTGGTGTAGACTTCAATAATAACCTGTTCAATGCATTATGCCAGATGAATCTTGCATCTCAAAAGTAGAACAAATATTGTTCTTTCAGTTTTGTCTACCCATAAATGCAATATTTACTAATAAAAAGAAAATGAGTTTATTGTTCTAGAGAGTATGAGAATTTTGACAACATGAATTCTCCTGTCCTAGGACATAATTAATACTTAGAGGCATACTATTTCATGTGGAAGCTACCATTAAATCAATGTTAAGTGTTAATTACCTCACATAATCTTCTAATCTGACTTGACTGAAGACGTACCTGACAAAGTTGATTTATCAAGTTGTAAATCTTCACCTGTTGAATTCATAAGTTCATGTCTGAAAGGTGAGAATAAATACTTAATATTCATTAGGCAATATTCAGCAAAGTAATATCCACTAGTACATATTTAATATTTCATCATGAACTGCGGGTGTGAAGAGAAAAGACAGGCTGGGCACAGTGGCTCACACCTGTAATCCCAGCAGTTTGGGAGGCCGAGGCAGGCAGATCATGAGGTCAGGAGTTCGAGACCAGCCTGGCCAACATGGTAAAACCCCGTCTGTACTAAAAGTACAATAATTAGCTGGGCATGGTGGCAGGCACCTGTAATCCCAGCTACTCGGGAGGCTGAGGCAGGAGAATTGCCTGAACCCAGGAGGTGGAGGTTGCAGAAACCATTATCACGCCACTGCATTCCAGCCTGGGCAAGAGAGCAAGATTCTGTCTCCATCAATCAATCAATAAAAATATAAGAAGGAAGCATTTACTGTGTATTTATATGTCTGGTATTATGTGAAGCACTTTACTATCTTATCAAATCTTCGGGACAGATCTTCAGTTCTCATGACCACAAAAGAGGATACTAAAGCTCAGACAGGAGAAGAGACGTGGCCAGGCTGTGTCCCCAGGGCCTATGGTCTTACCACTAGGTTACAGTGTTTCCAGATATCACATGTTGTGAGATTTTTGCTTTAAAATGAACCAAAAAAAAACCAAAGGTGAAAAAGGCATAAGCTATTAAAAAGTGGGAGAAACACTAAGAGAACCTTAAGCATGTAACTAAAAATATTATGGAAATGTTATTGAATACATTAGCAAATTTAGTGCTAGGTTTTCATTGAGGAGTAGGTTATATTACTCATGATGAAGAAAAATGTTCATTTTAAGTATATTAACATAAATACCATCAATATTGTTTATCATGTTTAAATGTTCACTTAAAGCAATTCAGTTAAAATTCTGCATATCATACAATTTTATAGTTTGCTAGTAGGTTACAAGTAAATAGTCACCCAAATAAAAACATCATGTTTTCCACTGGTTGTTGCTCTTTTTTAGGTGAGTATTTGATATATACCAACAGAGAGAGGATAATAACAAATCGCTAATTTCTTTCATCACTATATAAAGGTGGCTTCAGGATAGAATAGTATCAGTGTAATGATGAATTTGAAATCTAACATCAATTCAGTGATGCATCAAGATAAAAGTAGAGACAACAGGGGCACCTTGGTGAGTACTGAACATTTTATTTATTTATTTATTTTGAGATGGAGTTTTGCTCTTTTTGCCCAGGCTACAGTGCAATGGTGCCAACCTCGCCTCACTGCAACCTCTGCCTCCTGGGTTCAAGCGATTCTCCTGCCTTGGCCTCCCGAATAGCTGGGATTACAGACATGCGCCACCACACCCGTCTAATTTTGTATTTTTAGTAGAGACGGGGTTTCTCCATGTTGGTCAGGCTGGTCTCGAACTCCCGACCTAGATATCTGCCTGCCTTGGCCTCCCAAAGTGCTGGGATTACAGGTGTGAGCCACCACGCCCAGATGAATTCCAAATTTAACAAAGCAGACTAAGAGAAACAATTCATTTAAAAAAATAATATTTGGCCAGGCATGGTGGCTCACACCTATAATCCCAGCACTTTGGGAGGCTGAGGTGAGTGGATCAGGAGGTCAGCAGTTCAAGACCAGCCTAGCCAAGATCATGAAACCCCGTCTCTACTAAAAATACAAAAATCAGCCAGGCGTGGTGGCTGGTGCCTGTAATCCTAGCTGCTCGGGAGGCTGAGGCAGAGAACTGCTTGAACCCGGGAGGCGGAGGTTGCAGTGAGCCGAGATCGTGCCACTGCACTCCAGCCTGGGCGACAGAGTGAGGCTCCGTCTCAAAAAAAATAAATAAATAATTCAATGAAATTCCTAAGATCCAGGGCTTTGCAATAAATATGTAAATAAATTTCCAATCTCCATACTGAAAGTTTAAAAGAAATGCTAACTAATAACTAAAGAAATACAACTTTTCCTCAGCTTTGCAGCAATCTAGAAACAAAGTGTGTAGACACTACAAAGCACCTTACAAGGAGAAACATGTAAGGATGGCATGACTCGCCGGCAGCCCTGGGATTGTCCACGGTACCCCCATGATGAACAGTAACTCCACTGTGTAAACGCCCATGAACCTAAGATTACAAGACTTCTCCAGTTTAGACATACCATATTTTCTTTCAGACAATTCTTCAGTTTGTTTACGTAGATCAGCGAAACGATGATTCCATTTCTCTGAAAACCAAGCAAAAGTTGCTTCTCAATAACACGTCCCTATGTCAGAGCAGCACTAACATATAATGACTGATTTCATATATTTTACATTCTAACAGTCCATATCATTTTACTGCTTTCAAGAAAAAATTTCCCCTTCTTGGTGGTTCTTAGAATTGGTTTAATGGGAGACTATTAGAGAAGCTGAAAAGCAGGAGGGCAGAAAAGTTCAATCAAATTAAACACAATAACAGGGAGGTCACAATGAGGCGGTCTCCAGGGGTCTTTTAGCAAACTTCCTAAAACATGTCTCAGCTGTGTGAAATAAGACTTTACAGCAGCCGGGTGCAGTGGTGCAGGCCTGTAATCCCAGCACTTTGGCAGCAGAGGCAGGCGGATCACTTTGAGCTCAGGGCAACATAGCCAAAACCCCCCTCCCTAGCCCCACCCCCACCCCGTCCCTACCAAAAATACAAAACAGCAGGGCATGGTGGCGGGCGCCTGTAGTCCCAGCTACTCAGGAGGCTGAGGCAGGAGAATCACCTGAACCCAGGAGGCAGACATTGCAGTGAGCCAAGATCACGCCACTGCCAGCCTGGATGACAGAGCAAGACTCCACCTCAAAAAAAACAAAAACAAAAACACAAGGTTAAGAGGGACCCCCGACCTTACAGATACAAGTTTAAGAGGGACCCCTAAGCAAAAAATGCCAACCCTTTTTCTCCCAATCATTGAAACACCAGGAGGGTGTAACAGTTTTGCAGCCTAGCTGTAGCAGGCTGATGCCCCCAAGATGCCCATATCCTAATCCCGGGAACTGGTGAACATGACCTTATATGGCAAAAGGAACTTTGCAGATATAATGAAGTTAAGGGTCTTTGGCTTTTGGGGTTGATGTACTCACTCGGATCCTTGTAAGAGCAGAGCAGGTGATGGAGAGGGTGGGAGGTGTAGTGACAGAAGCAGGAAACTCCAGTCATTCGAGACGGGCAGCACAAGCTGCGGAGTGCAGGCCACCTCTACGGCCAGGAAACGGATTCTCCCGCAGAGCCTCGGAAGCTACCGACCCTGCTCCCACCTTGACTCAGTAGGACTTACTGTAGAATTCTGGCCTTCAGACCTGTAAGGGAATACATTTTGGTTGTTTTAAGTCACTAAGTGTGTGGTAATTTGTTGCAGCAGCCACAGGAAACTAGTATTGTAGTGAAGCCTCAAAACCCCCCTGAAGGGGCTGGGCTCAGTGGCTCATGCCTGTAATCCCAGCACTTTGGGAGGCCGAGATGGGTGGATCACTTGAGGTCAGGAGTTCGAGACCAGCCCAGCCAACATGGTGAAATGCCATCTATACAAAAAATACAAAAACTAGCCGGGCATGGTGGCACATGCCTGTAATCTCAGCTACTCAGGAGGCTGAGACAGGAGAATTGTTTGAACCCAGCGGGGCAGAGGTTGCAGTGAACTGAGATTCCACCACTGCACTCCAGCCTGGGTGACAGAGCGACGCTCCATCTCGAAAACAAAACAAAACAAAAAAACCCCACCTGAAGGTTTCCAGTTCTGCCAGCACTCTCCCACCCAACCCCCAGAAACAGACATTCCATTGCTGTGGGCCACGGACAGGCAGAAGGAAGCACCTCCTCATGGCAGAGGCCTACCCAGGAGAAACCCAAGGGAAGGCACTACTGGGCTGGCCCCTCTCTGCCAAGGCCATATTCTTTTTTTTTTTTGAGGCCAGTTTCACTCTGTCTCCCAGACTGGAGTGCAGGGGCACAATCTCGGCTCACTTCGACCTCTGCCTCCCCAGTTCAAGTGATTCTCCTGCCTCAGTCTCCTGAGTAGCTGGGATGACAGGAGTGTAGCATGCCTAGCTAATTTTTGTATTTCTAGTAGAGATGCGGTTTTGCCATGTTGCCCAGGCTGGACTCGAACTCCTTGCCTCAAGTAGTCCACCTGTCTCAGCCCCGCAAAGTGCTGCTATTATAGGAGTGAGCCACTGCACCCAGCATTTGCCAAGACCTTTGATGGCAGGCTTTTTCCAGGTGATCAGTCCTTGTCTGGTCTGGCTCTGCCCCACTCTCCTTCTCACCTAGTTGGAATCCCTAGCTACTTTTCAGTAGAGGAGAGTGTGTACCCCAATCCCAGCTTGGTTCAGATCTGCATTTAACTCATGGAACCTGGCTGCTCCCCAGGTTCTGAAGAAAAAAACGGTCTCTCTGTGGGTATGATAAAGGATGGACCTGTCCCCAGGACCCTGTGAGAGGGAAGCCCAATGTCCCACCAGGTTGGCAGGGCTGGGGAAGGGAAAGTGTTATGGCAGCCCCAAGAAAAAAAAGAGGCAGCAGAGGGAGCAGGACAGCGCTCACATGGAACTCATGCCACTGCCTGAGGGGAGGGAGGAGTGCACGCCAGTGACGTCAGGGGGCAGAGAGGCGCAGTTCCAGGGCGGCTTTCCCCCTCACTTCCTGCCATGTTACTCTGATCGCCTCCAGGTGAGCCTGCCCACTTTGTGCCCAGGGGCCTGTAGAAAACCACAGCTCCCCATGGTTATGGCCCCAGGAGTGGGGCAGAGCAGGGAGGAGTCCTGGACAGAGGAGAGGCAGGGGCAGGAGGGAGTGGGCCTCAAACTCCAGGAGGGGGCCCTTCTCATGGGTCCTGCTTTCTGGCTTCTCCTTCCTTACCCCTGGGCTGATCACTTGGGGAAGAACTGAGACAAAGTTTCTCACCCTCAGGCCCAAAGGGTTTAATTACTGGGCCCTTAGGGAGGTGTGAGCCCCCTGAAAGGATGCAAGGTTTTGTTTTGTTTTGTTTTTTGAGACAGAGTTTCGCTCCTGTCGCCCAGGCTGGAGTGCAGTGGCGTGATCTCACCACACTACAACCTGCGCCTCCCAGGTTCAAGTGATTCTCCTGCCTCAGCCTCTGGAGTAGCTGGGATTACAGGTGGCTGCCACCACGCCTGGCTAATTTTTTGTATTTTTAGTAGAGACAGGGTTTCGCCATGTTGGGCAGGCTGGTCTTGAACTCCTGACCTCAGGTGATCCGACTGGCTCCGCCTCCCAAAGTTCTGGGATCACATCAGCCACTGTGCTTGGCCACAGTGAAAGGTTTTGTGTGGAGAGCATGTACATGCCTTTCTGGGAAAACAGTCCACAGCTCTTATTCTCAGCAGGCTTCACGGTGAAAAAAGGTTAGAACTCTTGCTACAGAGCTGTGGAAGCAGCCAGGTGAGGGGCCTGCCAAGGGCACTCTGGGCACTACCTGGGCACTCTCGAGCCCATCATCCCCTAGGCAGGCTGCACTGCTTGGTATTTGCAGAGCTGAGGGGGTGGGGCATGTGGGGACTGTGAAATCGCCCTGAGATGACCCACAGTCCTCAGCTAGGAAGTGAGCGCTGCATCTCCTGCAGCGTCCTCCATCCCTAGAGCCATGGGGCCAGGAGAACCGGCCCTTGCAGCAAGTGAAAAGCCTATTATTGATTCCCTCCCTAGCCATGTAGACAGTGAACCAAGACACTCATATCAGGTAAATGCCTTGTTCTCTGTTACCAAGGTAACCAGTAGGCATTCCCAGATACAGCGAAGGTCCTCACACCAAGATATGCACCTGGCCACCTGAGGAAAGAGAAAGGACTATCTGAGGGGACGGGGCTGAGCTGGGTGTGGAGTGGTCCTTGTGGGTCTTGGAGAGTGGGAGGGGGAGCAGCATGAGCCAGGCCTCGAGGCAGAAGGATAACCAGGAGACAGCCTGGAAAAAGTGCTGGACCCACAAGGGCTCAAGGCTGGCCAGAGGGGAGGTGGGATAGGCTGTAAAGTCCTGAGGTCTGAAGATTGGCCCTGGCAGGAAGAAACCAGGTAAGGTGGGGTGTTACCTACACCCTCGGGGCCAGATGCAGGCCAGAGCCAGCCAATTACCAGGCCCTTAGGGAGGTGTGAGCCCCTTGAAATGATGCAAGGTTTTTTGTTTTTGTTTTGGAGACGGAGTTTCGCTCTTGTCACACAGGCTGGCACCTTTGCCCAGAGCAGGCACCAAGACTTCTGGCTCTGGGTGTGACCTCAGTCTGGGTAAAAGCCCCAGCCCCCACCAGCACCACCTACCCCCTAGACTACTTCAGGTGCTGAGCCCAAGCCAGGGGCAGGAAGCTAAACTGATGCCTAGGGTAATCCCAACAAAGTCCCTGGTTCCCCGCAGCTATGGGGCTGACGGGGAATTACAGCCCAAACCCCAGATGCTGGCTCTCAAACTAACACTGAGCCCTCAGTGCCCACAGGGAGATACAATCAGCGCACTTTCCAGATGGGGAAATGGGATCAGAGAAGTGCAACAGCCTTGCCCAATGCCCCAGACCAGGGCTCCAGGCCCAGAGTGTTCTTTTGTCACTGTGTTCAGAGGGCAGCAGCTGCTGTGATGTACCCACCTGAGCCTGGCAGCTCTCTCCAACTTTGGAAGCCCAGGAGCATGGCCCCTGTCCACAGATGCACCTGGCATGAGGCGTGCCCAGAGGGACAGAGGCAGATGAGTTTCGTCTCCTCCACTGGATTGTGAGGGCCTAGAAGGAGACAAGGGTCTGCTTGAGAAGGCAGTGAACAGCGAGCAGCCTGAGGCAGTGCCCCTCTGGATGGATGCGCAGTGCCTGGATGGAACCTGGCTCAGACAGAGCTCAGTTCTGCAGGTCCCTGAGGCATGGAGAGTTCACAGCTACCAAGTGTAGGAGTCTGGATTCAAAGCCAACGGCGTGACTCCAAAGTCCCTGCCCTAGCCCCTGGACCACCCTTGCAGGCCCATCAGATGCCCAGGCCAGCAGCACAGCCGGCCAAGACCAGGGAAACTTGGGGAGCCTCAGAGCACCCCCAGGTATTCCAACCTAACCCTGGTGCCCCGCCTCTCACCACCCTTCTTCCTGCTTTAACCTAAACCCCTACACAAAGCCTGGGCCACTTAATGTGGCATCAAACAGACGCCTCAATAAATCAGTCTAATCTCGAAAATAAAAAAGACTTAACAGATATACAATTGCACGTTAGAATGCTAAAGACCATAAACATATAACAACTTAAAGTACATATAAATTCAATATATATCCAATCATTGTAACTATGACACAGTAGAATATTAAAATACTATTTTCAAAATGTATACAAGCTTAATGTTCTATGTATTCAAACTATTTATTCAAAATACAAATCATCAACATACATTGCCACTAATATTCAGTCCCTTCACAGGACATGATTCACTGGGAGTTAATAAATTAGCAGCCAGCAGGCAGTGACACACCGCAAAAATGAAAACCAAGAGGTGAAATAGTTCTGAAATAAAGGTTTTAAAGCTAACAGAAATCACTGAATTACTAAGTCATTAGCACTAATTTTGAGCCAACTAACTAATTAATATGAGATGATACAATGTCCTATACTTTGGTAAATACAGACTATGTTTAAACAATGTCTGTAACGTGACTTGTAAAATGCTCCTGGCTTTACAAAGATGTGATTAAGATGTAGTAACACATGCTAAACCATTTCCCCCTGCAGAGCATGTGGTAACTTTCATCAGTCACACTGAGAGTCCAGAAGATAAAGGAAAAGGTCATGGATTTCGCTGAGAACTTACCAGAGTTGAACTCCCTCATTTTCCGTTCCCCAGCATTGGCAGGTTCTGGGACTGGTGGCTGTGGTGGCTCGTTGGTCTTTGTCTCTTAGAAGGTGGGGAATAATCATCATCTTGAAAAAGAAAAAATGGTCATTACTGAAGGAACCATCTTAGGTTACAGCCACCTCTGGGTCAATTCCCAACATTCAAAAGCTGAGCAGGGCTTTAAAGCTATCTTATTAATAATTATTTCTGTATTGCGAACTTCAGCATACTTTTTTCTAGTTACATTTGAAATGTTATTCTTTTGGGATGTGCTCAAGTGAGTACTGCTTTTTCCTCTGCCTTGCTTCATTACTTTTTAGTTTCCTTCATTTGAATCATCATTGTAAGTCTCCCCTTCTCCTCAAATAACTTTCAAATTGCTGCCAAGAACTACGTTCTATCTTAAGGCTTTTGAGAAAAAACTTTCAATGAAGATAGCCACCTAAAGTTATACAAATATAGAAGAAACGGGATAAAATAAAGCTTAGATTGGAAAAAATATTTAAGATTCTACAAAATTCACGCGTAAACAAGGGAAGCTGAGTAATTGTATGTTCAAATACTTTTAACAAGTGCAAAACATGTAGGCTTAAAGAAATAGAGCTGGCCAGGCATGGTGGTTCATGCCTGTAATTCCAACAGTTTGGGAGGCCAAGGCAGGCAGATAACTTGAGGTCAGGAATTCGAGACCAGCCTGGCCAACAGAGTGAAACCCTCTCTCTACTAAAAATACAAAAATTAGGCCAGGAGTGATGGCTCACGCCTGTGATCCCAGCACTTTGAGAGGCCGAGGCGGGTAGATCACCTGAGGTCAGGAGTTTGAGACCAGCCTAACCAACATAGGGAAACCCCGTCTCTACTAAAACTACAACATTAGCCGGGTGTGGTGGCACATGCCTGTAATCCCAGCTACTCGGGAGGCTGAGGCAGGAGAATCCCTTGAACCCAAAAGGCAAAGATTGTGGTGAGCCGAGATTGTGCCACTGCACTCCAGCCTGGGCAAAAACAGCGAAACTCCGTCTCAAAAAAAAAAAAAAGAAAAAATTAGCCAGGCATGGTGAAGTTGCAGTGAGCTGAGACTGCACCATTGCACTCCAGCCTGGGTAGCAAGACCCTGTCTCAAAAAAAAAAAAAAAAAAAAAAAAAAAAGAGAGAGAGAGAAAGAAAGAAAGAGGGCTACATTATTTATGAAACAGATACTGTTAACTCAGTCACCAGAAAGCCTGTGTATAAATGAGCAGTGAGATATTCAAGCACAGCACACACACACTTCTCAGGACAGCTGTCGTGAGTGTTCCATGCTCGTTTCCTTCTGGATACATCAGCAACTCACTCTGCTATGATCCTGCAATACATCTCATGTTAGAATTAGAGACATCTGGGCCAGGCACAGTGGCTGACGCCTGTAATCCTAACACTTTGGGAAGCCCAGGCAGGCAGATCACCTAAGGTCAGGAGTTCGAGACCAGCCTGGCCAACATGGTGAAATGCTGTCTCTACCAAAAATACAAAAAATTAGCTGGGCATGGTGGCGCGCGCCTGTAATCCCAGCTACTCGGGAGCCTGAGGCAGGAGAATCGCTTGAACCCGGGAGGTGGAGGTTGCAGTGAGCCGAGATCGTGCCACTGCACTCCAGCATGGGGGATGGAGCAAGGCTCTGTCAAAAAAAAAAAACAGAAAAAGAAAAAGAAAAAAGAATTAGAGACATCTGGATCAAATCAGCTGCCAGTCTCGCAAAGTGTCGGGTAACATCCTATTAAGCTTGCTGCTTACACATCATCTATAAAATACTGAAAATATCATTTTAAGAAATCTTTTTTTTATTTTGAGACAGAGTTTTGCTCGTTGCCCAGGCTGGAGTGCAATGGTGCGATCTCAGCTCACTGCAATCTCTGCCCCCTGGGTTCAAGCAATTCTCCTTCCTCAGCCTCCTGAGTAGCTGGGATTACAGGCATGCACCACCACGCCTGGCTAATTTTGTATTTTCAGTTGAGACAGGGTTTCTCCATATTGGTCAGGCTGGTCTCGAACTCCTGACCTCAGGTGATCCACTGACCTTGGCCTCCCAAAGTGCTGGGATTACAGGTGTGAGCCACCATGCCTAGCCAAGAAACCCTTATTTTAAAACAAGCCAGGCGCGGTGGCTCATGCCTATAATCCCAGCACTTTGGGAAGCCAAGGCAGGTGGATCACTTGACGTCAGTAGTTTGAGACCAGCCCAGGCAACATGTTGTAACCCCATCTCTACTAAAAATATATTTTAAAAATTAGCTGGGCATGGTGGTGGGCACCTGTAATCCCAGCTTCTCAGGAGGCTGAGGCAGGAGAACCACTTGAACCTGGGAGGTGGAGGTTGCAGTGAGCGGAGATCACGCCACTGCACTCTAGCCTGGGTGACAATAGAAAGACTCCATCTCAAAAACAAAACAAAACAAAACAAAACAAAAAACCACTAAAAAAAAGACTCCATTTCAAAAACAAAACTAAAACCAAAAACACAACACAAATGTAGTACACAAATGAAAATAATTACTGTGTTAAACACAGTTTCATAGAAAATAAAAGACCAATCAAATACAATAAGCTGCCTTTTTAGATGGGTATGTTATTCTTCTTTCACAGCTAAAGAAACAGGCTCAGAGAATGTTATTTGATTGGACCGTGTTGCATTTCTGGACAGTGCAGCTGAGATCAGACTTTGTGTGTAACTCCACTAGCCTACCAGGGTGCCTCTCATAAAGGTAAGAAATGTAAATTTGGCCTAATATACAAAGTTGCCAGGGCAGCACTGGGTCAATTCTACATACAGTACTTCTATGTTCATCAAGGGAAACCTTAAGGGAAAGTGAAAATGCTTCTAGAAGGCGACTGGACACCAGCGCCTTTGCTTGTTGCCTTTGGGCTCTTCTTCTAAGGCCAACAGTGACCTGAAATTATTGACTGGCTTTTCCAATCAAGTGGACAAAATGGTACCAAGGTCACCAACATCGATATAGAACATCGATGTTCTACAGCATTGCTTAACGCAAGGGGAGACGCTCCTGACTCAGAGTGTTTAATTGCTCACCTACTTCTTTTTCTGCCCTCTTGGGCTTCTGAAATGAAAAGAACCCTGGGGTGATACAGTGAGTCAAAGGGGTGCCAGCCGCATCACAGCAAAATAGATTCCTAAAAAATCCCTGGCCTAAGATGACAGCCTTGGCTGGATCAGTTTGAATGTGCTGATAGTGGACATGGTAGAATGAAGGTGGTTGAAATGTTCATATTAAAGAACTTCCACCCAGATTGCAAGAAAAGAGAGAAGAATGGAGACGGCAGCACGAGCCCCTACAATAAAAGCAGATGTTTTGAGATCAGTTATATTTCTTCTGACAAAAATTAAAGACAGAAACCAAAGTTTAGCCTGAGACTACAATTAATTGGGCAATAAGCCAGAGGCACATATGGCATAAGACAGATTTAAACATTTCTCCCTGATATTAATACAAACACTAAAATTACAAATACTTTGATTCCAAATAAAACAAATATTTAAAAAATTTAATGAATAAACACTGGGGTCTACAGTAGTATTTGAAGATCTCACAAACAGGTTTGGTTTTTGAAGGTTAGAACTG